>NC_000004.12:118012290-118163805 GCF_000001405.40 Homo sapiens | reverse complement strand
TATCTCACTGTGGTTTTGATTTACATTTTTCTTATTTTATTTTATTTTATTATTATTATACTTTAAGTTTTAGGGTATATGTTCACAATGTGCAGGTTAGTTACATATGTATACATGTGCCATGCTGGTGTGCTGCACCCATTAACTCATCATTTAGCATTAGGTATATCTCCTCATGCTATCCCTCCCCTCTCCCCCGACCCCACAACAGTCCCCAGAGTGTAATGTTCCCCTTCCTGTGTCCATGTGTTCTCATTGTTCAGTTCCCACCTATGAGTGAGAATATGCGGTGTTTGGTTTTTTGTTCTTGCGATAGTTTACTGAGAATGATGATTTCCAATTTCATCCATGTCCCTACAAAGGACATGAACTCATCATTTTTTATGGCTGCATAGTATTCCATGGTGTATATGTGCCACATTTTCTTAATCCAGTCTATCATTATTGGACATTTGGGTTGGTTCCAAGTCTTTGCTATTGTGAACAGAGCCACAGTAAACATATGTGTGCATGTGTCTTTATAGCAGCATGATTTATAGTCCTTTGGGTATATACCCAGTAATGGGATGGCTGGGTCAAATGGTATTTCTAGTTCTAGATCCCTGAGGAATTGCCACATTGACTTCCACAATGGTTGAACTAGTTTACAGTCCCACCAACAGTGTAGAAGTGTTCCAATTTCTCCACATCCTCTCCAGCACCTGTTGTTTCCTGACTTTTGAATGACTGCCATTCTAACTGGTGTGAGATGGTATCTCATTGTGGTTTTGATTTGCATTTCTCTGATGGCCAGTGATGGTGAGCATTTTTTCATGTGTTTTTTGGCTGCATAAATGTCTTCTTTTGAGAAGTGTCTGTTCATGTCCTTTGCCCACTTTTTGATGGGGTTGTTTGTTTTTTTCTTGTAAATTTGTTTGAGTTCATTGTAGATTCTGGATATTAGCCCTTTGTCAGATGAGTAGGTTGTGAAAATTTTCTCCCATTTTGTAGGTTGCCTGTTCACGCTGATGGTAGTTTCTTTTGCTGTGCAGAAGCTCTTTAGTTTAATTAGATCCCATTTGTCAATTTTGTCTTTTGTTGCCATTGCTTTTGGTGTTTTAGACATGAAGTCCTTTCCCATGCCTATGTCCTGAATGGTAATGCCTAGGTTTTCTTCTAGGGTTTTTATGGTTTTAGGTCTAATGTTTAAGTCTTTAATCCATCTTGAATTGATTTTTGTATAAGGTGTAAGGAAGGGATCCAGTTTCAGCTTTCTACATATGGCTAGCCAGTTTTCCCAGCACCATTTATTAAATAAGGAATCCTTTCCCCATTGCTTGTTTTTCTCAGGTTTTTCAAAGATCAGATAGTTGTAGATACGCAGCATTATTTCTGAGGGCTCTGTTCTGTTCCATTGATCTATATCTGTGTTTTGGTACCAGTACCATGCTGTTTTGGTTACTGTAGCCTTGTAGTATAGTTTGAAGTCAGGTAGCGTGATGCCTCCAGCTTTGTTCTTTGGCTTAGGATTGACTTGGCAATGAGGGCTCTTTTTTGGTTCCATATGAACTTTAAAGTAGTTTTTTCCAATTCTGTGAAGAAAGTCATTGGTAGCTTGATGGGGATGGCATTGAATCTGTAAATTACCTTGGGCAGTATGGCCATTTTCATGATATTGATTCTTCCTACCCATGAGCATGGAATGTTCTTCCATTTCTTTGTATCCTCTTTTATTTCACTGAGCAGTGGTTTGTAGTTCTCCTTGAAGAGGTCCTTCGCGTCCCTTGTAAGCTGGGTTCCTAGGTATTTTACCCAAGATGGCTGAATAGGAACAGCTCCGGTCTACAGCTCCCAGCGTGAGCGATGCAGAAGACGGGTGATTTCTGCATTTCATCTGAGGTACCGGGTTCATCTCACTAGGGAGTGCCAGACAGTGGGCGCAGGACAGTGGGTGCAGTGCACCGTGTGTGAGCAGAAGCAGGGTGAAGCATTGCCTCACTCGGGAAGCTCAAGGGATCAGGGAGTTCCCTTTCCTAGTCAAAGAAAGGGTTGACAGATGGCACCTGGAAAATCAGGTCACTCCCACCCTAATACTGCACTTTTCCGACGGGCTTAAAAAACGGCACACCAGGAGATTATATCCCTCACATGGCTCGGAGGGTCCTACACCCATGGAGTCTCGCTGATTGCTAGCAAAGCAGTCTGAGATCAAACTGCAAGGCGGCAGCGAGGCTGGGGGATAGGCGCCCACCATCGCCCAGGCTTGCTTAGGTAAACAAAGCATCTGGGAAACTCGAACTGGGTGGAGCCCACCACAGCTCAAGGAGGCCTGCTTGCCTCTGTAGACTCCACCTCTGGGGGCAGGGCACAGACAAACAAAAAGACAGCAGTAACCTCTGCAGACTTAAATGTCCCTGTCTGACAGCTTTGAAGAGAGCAGTGGTTCTCCCAGCACACAGCTGGATATCTGAGAATGGGTAGACTGCCTCCTCAAGTGGGTCCCTGACCCTGACCCCCGAGCAGCCTAACTGGGAGGCATCCCCCAGTAGGGGCAGACTGACACCTCACACGGCCGGGTACTCCTCTGAGACAAAGCTTCCAGAGGAATGATCAGACAGCAGCATTCGCAGTTCACGAAAATCTGCTGTTCTGCAGCTGCCGCTGTGGATACGCAGGCAAACAGGGTCTGGAGTGGACCTCTAGCAAACTCCAACAGACCTCTAGCTGAGGGTCCTGTCTGTTAGAAGGAAAACTAAC
Source organism: Homo sapiens (assembly GCF_000001405.40). Classification (NCBI taxonomy): domain Eukaryota; kingdom Metazoa; phylum Chordata; class Mammalia; order Primates; family Hominidae; genus Homo; species Homo sapiens. The sequence continues at coordinate 118,161,069 of NC_000004.12, read as the reverse complement.
AAACAGAAAGGACATCCACACCAAAAACCCATCTGTACATCACCATCATCAAAGACCAAAAGTAGATAAAACCACGAAGATGGGGGAAAAACAGAGCAGAAAAACTGGAAACTCTAAAAAGCAGAGCACCTCTCCTCCTCCAAAGGAATGCAGTTCCTCACCAGCAATGGAACAAAGCTGGACGGAGAATGACTTTGACGAGTTGAGAGAAGAAGGCTTCAGACGATCAAACTACTCCGAGCTACAGGAGGAAATTCAAACCAAAGGCAAAGAAGTTAAAAACTTTGAAAAAAATTTAGACGAATGTATAACTAGAGTAACCAATACAGAGAAGTGCTTAAAGGAGCTCATGGAGCTGAAAGCCAAGGCTCGAGAACTACGTGAAGAATGCAGAAGCCTCAGGAGCCGATGCGATCAACTGGAGGAAAGGATATTAGTGATGGAAGATGAAATGAATGAAATGAAGCGATTTACATTTTTCTAATGATCAGTGATACTGAGCTTTTTTAATATGCTTATTGGCCACATGTATGTCTTCTTTTGAAAAGTGTCTGTTCATGTCCCTTGCTCACTTTTTAAATAAAGTTGTTTTTTTTTTTTCTTGTAAATTTGTTTAAGTTCCTTATAGATACTGGCTATTGGACCTTTGTCAGATGTATAGTTTGCAAATATTTTCTCCCATTTTGTAGGCTGTCTATTTACTCTGTTGACAGTTTTGTTGTTGTGCAGAAGCTCCTCCTTCATTATTGAAGGACAATTTTGCAGGCTATAGTATTCTCAGTTGGCAATTATTTTTTCTTTCAGCATTTTGAATATATCTCCCTTCTCCATTTTGTCCTGAAAGGTTTCTGCTAGATATCTCCTCATAGTGTTATGGAGGCTCCCTTTTATGTGATGAATCAGTTTTCTTTTTCTGCTTTTAACATCCTTTGAATTTTGGCATTTTTATTATAACCTTTTCTGGTGTGGTTATCTTTGAGTTCTTCCTAGTTGGAGTTTGTTGGCCTTCTTGAACTTGGATCTCTACTTCCTTTTCCGTATTTGGGAAGTTTTGGCCATTATTTCTTCGAATAAGCTTTCTGCATTGTTCTCTCTTTCTTCTCTTTTTGAGACTCCCATAATACAAATATTTGCAAACTTGATGTTGTTTCCTAAGTCCCTTAGACTTTCTTCACTGTTTATTTTGTTTTATTTTATTTTGCTCCCTGGGCAATTTCAAATGACCTGTCTTCAAGTTCCCTGATTCTTTCTTCAGCTTAATCATGTTTGCTATTAAAACTAGGTAGTGATTTTTTCACTTCAGTTATTTTATTCTTCAGGTCTGAGATTTCTATTTGATTCCATTTTTAATATTTTCTATTTCTTTGTTGAAATTCTCACTTTGTTCATCCATTTTTCTCCTGAGTTTATTGAACATCTTTATGATGATTATTTTGAATTCTCGTCAGGTAATTTAATCTCTCCATTTCATTAAGTTGGTTTCTGGAGACTTATTTTGTTCCTTGGATTGGTCTATATTTTCCTTTTTCTTAATGCGCCTTGTTACCTTTTGTTGTGGTCTGTGCATTTCAAAAAATAGCTTCCTCTCTCACTCTGTAAAAAACAGGGTTTGTATAGGAACAAACCTTCACCAATCAGCCAAGTAAGAGATTCTGAGGTCCTCTCACCTCTAGTCTGTGGATACATCTGCAATAGACTTGTGTGTGTAAATTCTCAATTAGAGGGATTTACTGGTTGATTTTCTTCCAAGACCTTGTAATCTATTACTCCTTCTGGTGTTCTCTGGAGCTGCTATAAGCTGCCAAGCTGTCTTTTGTTGTCAGCAGCCCCTGGCTTCTAGAATATATTGGGTCCTGTCAGCACTTGGAGACAGATAAGATAAAAACTAGTTTCTCGGGCAACCATCCACCCACCCTTCTGCCCCTCTGTCCCCTGCCAAAAGCCTAAATGTTCAATGTACAAAAATGTACAAGCCAAATCTTTTCCTCCTATGGGACTGTGGGAGAAGCTAGAAGCTGGGAGTTTTCTTCCAGTTGCTCTCTGCTGAGTCAGTGAAAGGGACTATGGCAAGTGAGTGTTGTGAATTTTTTTACTGGCCTCTATGCAGCTGGTTTTGCGCTTGCCTGGGGTCCAGCAGTGTCTTAATTTGTTTCTGGATTTTTCACAAAGGGAATTAATTCATGTATTGTTGTTCAGTTGATGACTCTATGGAAGGAAGGAGGATATGGGACTTTCTATTTCATCATTTTGCTGATGTCACCCTACTTTATTTTGTATTGAATCACAGGAGGTGCATAATATCAGCTTATCTTGTTAAGTTACTCCACCTTTGGTGATGTTAAGTCTGATCACTTGGGTACAGTAAGAAACTGTCAGATTTCTCTATTGTGAAGAATGATTTTTCTCTTTGTAATTAATAAGTAATCTATGGAATTAAACCTTAAGGCTGTGTAATCTTTCACCCAAAAGTTTCAGCAACTATTGATGTTTCTTTTTTCAATCAATTGTTTTCATTGGTGTCTGCAAAATGATGATCTTTGAATTCCATCATTCTACCTGAATTCATCAGCTGGCACTGGTGTCTTTTCTACAGAAGAACTCTCCTTCTTTTTTCATACTTTGAGTATGTCTATAACCTCCATTTTTTTCATGCTAAAATTATCTCATATCAAGAGCACTTTTAGCTGATTTCTGTCCTGTTTAATACAAGCTTGTTAGTCTTTGAGTGACTGTTTCCCTTTTTTCTGGTACAAGGTGTTCCAGACTCAATTTGTACTTTCCATGTATCTGACTTGAATTTAGCCTTTTCTCCAAAAAGCCCACTTACTTTTGGGGAGAAATAGTATTTAGAAATTAAAATTTGAGCACTAGCTGAGCTCTTTGCTACTAAGTGTCATTGATTCTAGATAGAGGTAGGAAACCTTAAGTTCTTATTAATCTCCTCATTTCAAATTTAAATACTCTAATTCTCTCTTATTATCCTTCTTTCCATATTTTTATTCGTTTTATGGCGAAAACTCAGTTCCCAACAGCATCAATATATTCATTTATTTTTTTCTATCTGACAATACATGAGAAATGTTTCATAATTCAACAAAAATTTATTAATAAAGTTTATATTTTCCATGCAGACTTTTGTCCTATATTTCACTAAACGTATGCAGTTAGAATACTGTACTCAAAATTATTTTAATTAATTATTTTGTGTAATATATTACATACACATCCATGTTAGGTTTATTTGTTCATTTGTCTTCAATTTTCAGGTTTGCTTATCTCTCCCTCATCCTTTTCATTTATTATTTTGACTATATGTAAAACATTTCATGGTTCAAAATCAAAGCTATAGGCTGGGCTAGGTGGCTCATGCCTGCAATCCCAGCACTTTAGGAGGTTGAGGTGGGTGGATCATGAGGTCAGGAGATCGAGACCATCCTGGCTAACACAGTGAGACCCTGTCTCTACTAAAAATACAAAAAATTAGCCGGGCATGGTGGCACCTACCTGTAGTCCTAACTACTCGGGAGGCTGAGGCAGGAGAATCGCTGCTACCTGGGAGGCGGAGGCAGTGAGCTGAGATCACGCCACTGCACTCCAGCCTTGGTAACAGAGTGAGACTCTGTCTCAAAAAAAAAAAAAAACAAAAACAAAACTGTGTAAAAAATGTACGTAGTGAAGTGTTTCTCCCACTCACCCCCTTACTTTTCTGCTCTCATCCCACCATCCCCCCATTTTAAATGTAGTTTTCTTTTTATTAATAATTTAAATTTTTAAAATTTCTATTAATAATTAACAAAACACTTTTATTATTTTTGGTGTGTTTTTCCTGTATTTCTTTTCGTACAAGTAGGTAAATATCAATATGTATTCAGATTGCCCACTTTTTCCTCCCTTAATGTATTGTGGAAATCATAGCACATCAAAATCTTCTTAATTTTATTTGTATAGTAGTCTCTTGTATGGCTATACCACAGATTTTTTTAACTAGTCTCTTATGGATGGATGTTTAGGTTGTTCCCACTATTTGATGTACAAATAATCCGGTAATGAATAACTGAAAAAATGGTTTGCACTCAGATTGTTCATTAAAAAATTGACTTTGTGGTAATTCCTTCTTTAAGGTAGAGTCCTAAAGGTAGAATTTCTGCAGCAAAGAGCAAGTGCTATGTAGATTTGTTAGATGTTGTTAAATTTCTTCCATTAGGGTTGTACCATTTGCTCACGCACTAGGATGTATGAGAGTACCTGTTTTCCCACAGACTTGCTAACAGAATATCTTAGCAATCATTTGAATTTTTGTTAATCTGGTAGGTAAGAAATAGTGTCTCAATATAATCTTACTTTGCATTTTTCTTATTATGAGTGAAACTGAGCATATTCTCATAAACTCAATGACTTCAATAAAATGCCATGTTGGGAGACAATAAAAACCAGTTACTCAAACCCTCTGTAATCAAGTGAATTCTGTGGTGAGGTACTTCCAAGGCAACCAAATTTCTTTCAAATTCCAAAGATAGTATGTATGTAGTCATGGGAAGTCATGGGAAACACATTGTCTTTTATTTAGAACCTACTATGTGCCAAAACTTTTGCAGTGTACTGTGAATGTAAAATAGAATAAGGCATGATGTCTTCCATCAAGGAAGTCAAAAATTACTGGAAGGTAAAGATAATTGATTATAGGACTGTAGGCAAATTATAATTGGGTTATGCCTGAGTACCATGAGAACACAGAGGAGAAACCTTAGAAATCAAGCTGGAGGGTTGGGGATGTCTTCTTTAAAAAAATGATGTATGAGTTCAAATTTGCAGGAGGGCATTCCAGCTTGAGGTGATAGCACTTTAAGACATAGAGTGAGATAGTACAAAGTTTTGTTCAAGGTACTATGAATTATTCTGTATGGGTGGAGTGAAAGGTGCATATAAGAAATTATTGAAAAAAAGGATGAGAAAAGTGGACAGGAGCCAGATTTGATTTTTTTCAAGTGAAGAAATTTTCTGTCTATCCTGAATGCTAGAAATAGTATTTAGGAATTAAAATCTGAGCACTTTGTATTTAGTATGTAGGAATTAAAATCTTTGCTACTGGGTGTCATTGATTGCTATGGGAAACTATCAAAGGATTGAACAAAGAATAACATAATATTCATTTCTCCAACTTAATATCTATTTTCTTACATTTTAAGATAATATCCATTCCAAAAACTCCTATTTTTCTTAACTATGGAGGTCAAATAAAAAGCACAACTTAATCATGCTTTCTTGTGGTTTTCTTAATCTCAGAGTGACAAGTAATTACAGTAAGTTCTCACTTAATGTTATTGGTAGGTTCTTGGAAACTGAAACTGTAAACCAAATGACATATAACAAAACCAATTTTACCATTGGTTAAATAATCTAAACAAGAGTTAATTTCCTATGACATATTTCTGGCCCCCAAAACATCACCCAGCTTCTAAATAGGAACCAAAGAACTTTAATATTAAACATTGAAATAAATGTTAGCTCTACATATATTTAGGAAAGAGTAATAAAAACAAGTAAGATAATCATTTACCCAGTTATTCCAGTTTAGGATTGCTTGGGGGCCAGGGCCTATCCTGGCAGTTCAGGGCACAAGGCAAGAACCAACCCTGGACAATATGGTATTCCATCACAATTTATACAGGACAATTAACCTGATGTGCACATTTTTGGGATGTAGGAAGAAACCAGAGTATCAGGAGAAAACCCACATAGACATGGGGTGAATGTGCAAACTACACACAGATTGGCCCTGGATGGGAACTGATGTTTTCCTTATCAACATTATAACTAAATGATATTAAATGAAACAACATTATTTAAGGACCTGCTGTATCTAACACCACAGTTAGTGATGAAGAACATTAATAATAGAAAAATAGGGCTAATATGGAGGATAGCAAAAAGATGAAATAAAATGTTTTGGCTTTATAAATTTAAAAGTCTTACCATTTTATAAGTAATATCAATACAATGTATTAAGATAAAGAGAACATAGTTCTTTATTCGTAGTTCTTTAAAAGTACATTAGACATTTTTCCTTAACTGCAAGTGCTTATTACAGCTTTTCTCAAAAGCACTATTTTTTTGCTTTTTAACCCTACATGGAGATGGTTTGCTTTTTCTTAGACAATAGCCTGACATGTTAAACCACTCACAGATTTTCCCAGTACCAGGTCACTGACTCATATTAAGAAGGAATGTACATCACGTCAAGACCAATTTAGCCAGGCGTGCAGAAACAGTGTGTTGTAGCGGGTGAAGTGGTGAACTGAGAGTCAGGAAGAACAGAGTTCTGGTCGGAATACTATAGAAGTGACCTGCAGTGAACTAAATAATCTTTTTGGAATTCTAGTTCTCCATCAAAAATTAAAAGATTGATAGATAACCTTCCTGGTCTTTTCCAGTTTAATAGTCCTTTGTTCTGTGTCAGGTAAATTTCATCATCACTTATGAAAACCTGCTAAAGATTTAGGGCCATTCAAACATTTTCTGAAGTCTAAATTTCATTTACTTGCAAGCAGAGACTCTGCCAAATGTAGTTTTATTAAAACTAGGCTTGCTATTCACATTTGGATATACCTTAAAGCAAGTCATGCCCCTGAAATATAACTCTTCATGCGTTTAGTCAATCATTAAAATACATTTAGCAACCTCTTATTAGATTCAAACATTGATCTAGACACAATGGAAAGCACAAAGATGAAACACACACAGATTACCTCTGTAATAAGAATGCCCCATTATACAGTAGAAAAGATGCACACACAAATAATCACACTGTGGGGCAGGTGTTAGGCAACATATGTGACTTACAGATACAGAACAATTGGAACTGAGTAAATAGAAATTCTATTCCTGATATACCAACAACACAAAATAATTCCATTTTATGTACATCACTATTAAGTGATTATTATTATTTTTAGTGTAGCATTTATTGTGTAACTCTGTGTGTGTTGTGTCTCTGTGTGTGTACATGTGTATGAAGTTTCTGGTTATAACACTAATAGGTGTTCACTATAGATATTTTATAAAAATTAGAGGAAGATAATGGAAATCATCTTCAATTGTGTGATCTAGGATAACTACTGCTAACAATCTGCTGAGTTCTTTCTAGTTTATTTCCATACTCATATCTCATTTTCTTGTAATTTACTTTTCCCATTGAGAAGATCATGAATATTTCACGTCATTAAAATTATTATTATTATTATTATTTTAGATGGAGTCTCTCTCTGTCGCCCAGGCTGGAGTGCAGTGGTGCGATTTCGGCTCACTGCAACCTCCGCCTCCCGGGTTCAAGCAATTCTCCTGCCTCAGCCTCCCAAGTAGCTGGGATTACAGGCATGCACCACCACGCCCGGCTAATTTTTGTATTTTTAGTATAGACTGGGTTTCACAGTGTTGGCCAGGCTGGTCAGGGAACTCCTGAACTCAGGTGATCCACCCGCTTTGGCATCCCAAAGTGCTGGTATTAAAGGCATGAGCCACCACACCCAGCCAAACTTATTACACAACATGTTTTAAATGCCTGAATGTACCTTATTATATAGCGTATTTTATTACATAATGTATTTTATTACATAAGGGTGAACATAATTTATTTTGCTACTGGCCACTCCGCTGCTCCCTTTTGGACATTTAAGTTCATTCATTCATTTATAAAATATTTTTTAAGTACCTTATAATGCCATAACTCTTCCTAGTGTTGAGGTTTAGAGTAAACAAAACACAAGATATAAATGCCTATTGGAACTTGCATTCCAAGTGGGTATGGAGCAATACATATAATAAAATGATAAAATTAGCTGGTCCCATCTAAGAGAGCTACTTATTCTACTTAGACTTTGCAAGCTTCAAAATGAATCTTTTGAGCCTCTCCAAAGAGGTTCAGTTTACTCCCAAATCTGTGGGATTGGCTAGAAACCATAATGACTGTTCTCACAGGATTCAGATCAAGATAGATAGCTGCCATCGCACCTGCCTTTGCAAGCCTTTGCTGGAAGGATGGTTCTCAGGTAGCCGTTGCTCAGTCATAGTTTAGAAGTGGGGGGCATGTGGGGATATGAACCAAGAATGGACATTTCACAGAAGGCCAGGACTGATATGGGCTGACTCAGAAAGGTGAGCTGAAGCAAGTGGATTCCCTTGCTTGGAAATTCGACCTGAGAATCCAGCGGACGAGGCAGTCAGCAGTTAGAACTGGAGCTGAATCTTGATATGGAGAATATCTGATGCATTCATATTGGGCCATTTGTAAGATTAATTAACTACTGCAGAAACCGTAAACAAGCAGCACTTTTTTTGAAGGAATATTAATTTAGTCAGGAGTACAGAAAAGAGAAAGTTAGACATGTGAAAAGCATCTGTTGGGTTCAAAATAAAGCACTAAGGCAAGATTAATATTAGCATTTCTCATTTTTTTCTTTACCTTGTTTAAAGTTTTATTTCTATTGTAAGTAAAGCGACCTCATCAGAAAAATATTTACAGTAGGCCCCTTTTCCAGGGTTTTGGTTACCAATTGTCAACTGTGGTCCAGAAAAATTAAATGAAAAATTTCAATAATAAACAATTCATAAGTTTTAAAGAAATTCTGATTTTTATGGACCTTACAGCTACCTTGGTCTCAGAACACCCTCTAGGTCCTATGATTCCTGAATGTGTAGCTTTCTGGAGTCCCACATTACTTGAAGTAATATTACTTTCTGGAGTCCCATTACCTGAGGTAACTTGAATGAGCCTCTAGTCTTTAAACTATATCAACTCAACACAAATGAGTCTCTATACAGGAAGACAAATGCATGTGTAAAGAACAGAACACAACGATACATAATTCAGCCCCAGTGAATTCAGGAAACAGGTTTTCCTTATGCTTTTGATTTGAGAATTTTCTTACGAGGACTCGGATTTCCTTTTATGAATAGATTCATTTTTCTTTTTAAATCAGTTCATTAGAAAAGTTAATTTCTTTTCCTTAACAAATATATGCAAAATAAAAAACTAGGTAAAACATATTATGTTTAGACACTGGGATAGTTTTGGAAATGACAGACACATTCTCTACAACCACAAGCGTACAGGCTAATACAACCCACAATTATGATGCAGGATAATAAATACTTTGAAAGAGTCTGCAGAGGATGCTATAGAAACGCAGGAGGGGCCTCTAAATCAGAGTAGAAAAAGTTTCCTGAGGAAGGTGACCCCTACACTAAGTTTTTGGGATGAACAGCAGTAAACACTATTTTAAAATCCAGTTTAAGGTAGAGTTCTCTGGTCACTTAGGAAAACATTAATTCTTACTGTTTTTTAAAGTTCTATTGCAGATTTGGAGCCATTTTCCATTCTGAAACCTTGATTCTAGGTTTACAATTTCTATAACAGTTTTTGGTAATCTTTGATTACCAAAATTACTTCTCCATTTTCTTCCTCGGCAATATTTCTCTATTTGCCTGATCCTAACATTTACCTAAAGCGCATGGTGAGTATGTAGAGCCCCTAGGTCAATCCTAGAGATTCTGATGCATTAAGTTTGATTTCTAAAATTCAAGCATCTCAGGCAGTACTCACTATTAGGCATGTTCAGGAATTACTTTTATTTTATTTTATTTTTGTTGTTGTTGTTGTTTTTTAATATTTCTTTTTTTTATTATTATTATACTTTAAGTTTTAGGGTACATGTGCACAATATGCAGGTTAGTTACATATGTATACATGTACCATGCTGGTGCGCTGCACCCACTAACTCGTCATCTAGCATTAGGTATATCTCCCAATGCTATCCCTCCCCTCTCACTCCACCCCACAACAGTCCCCAGAGTGTAATGTTCCCCTTCCTGTGTCCATGTGTTCTCATTGTTCAGTTCCCACCTATGAGTGAGAATATGCGGTGTTTGGTTTTTTGTTCTTGCGATAGTTTACTGAGAATGATGATTTCCAATTTCATGCATGTCCCTACAAAGGACATGAACTCATCATTTTTTATGGCTGCATAGTATTCCATGGTGTATATGTGCCACATTTTCTTAATCCAGTCTATCATTGTTGGACATTTGGGTTGGTTCCAAGTCTTTGCTATTGTGAATAATGCTGCAATAAACATACGTGTGCATGTGTCTTTATAGCAGTATGATTTATAGTCCTTTGGGTATATACCCAGTAATGGGATGGCTGGGTCAAATGGTATTTCTACTTCTAGATCCTTGAGGAATTGCCACACTGACTTCCACAATGGTTGAACTAGTTTACAGTCCCACCAACAGTGTAAAAGTGTTCCTATTTCTCCACATCCTCTCCAGCACCTGTTGTTTCCTGACTTTTGAATGATTGCTATTCTAACTGGTGTGAGATGGTATCTCATTGTGGTTTTGATTTGCATTTCTCTGATGGCCAGTGATGGTGAGCATTTTTTCATGTGTTTTTTGGCTGCATAAATGTCTTCTTTTGAGAAGTGTCTGTTCATGTCCTTCGCCCACTTTTTGATGGGGTTGTTTGTTTTTTTCTTGTAAATTTGTTTGAGTTCATTGTAGATTCTGGATATTAGCCCTTTGTCAGATGAGTAGGTTGTGAAAATTTTCTCCCATTTTGTAGGTTGCTTGTTCACTCTGATGGTAGTTTCTTTTGCTGTGCAGAAGCTCTTGAGTTTAATTAGATCCCATTTGTCAATTTTGTCTTTTGTTGCCATTGCTTTTGGTGTTTTAGACATGAAGTCCTTGCCCGTGCTTATGTCCTGAATGGTAATGCCTAGGTTTTCTTCTAGGGTTTTTATGGTATGAGGCCAGCATCATGCTGATACCAAAGCCGGGCAGAGACACATCCAAAAAAGAGAATTTTAGACCAATATCCTTGATGAACATTGATGCAAAAATCCTCAATAAAATACTGGCAAACAAAATCCAGCAGCACATCAAAAAGCTTATCCACCATGATCAAGTGGGCTTCATCCCTGGGATGCAAGGCTGGTTCAATATACGCAAATCAATAAATGTAATCCAGCATATAAACAGAACCAAAGACAAAAACCACATGATTATCTCAATAGATGCAGAAAAGGCCTTTGACAAAATTCAACAACCCTTCATGCTAAAAACTCTCAATAAATTAGGTATTGATGGGACATATCTCAAAATAATAAGAGCTATCTATGACAAACCCACAGCCAATATCATACTGAATGGGCAAAAACTGGAAGCATTCCCTTTAAAAATTGGCACAAGACAGGGATGCCCTCTTTCACCACTCCTATTCAACATAGTGTTGGAAGTTCTGGCCAGGGCAATTAGGCAGGAGAAGGAAATAAAGGGTATTCAATTAGGAAAAGAGGAAGTCAAATTGTCCCTGTTTGCAGACGACATGATTGTATATCTAGAAAACCCCATTGTCTCAGCCCAAAATCTCCTTAAGTTGATAAGCAACTTCAGCAAAGTCTCAGGATACAAAATCAATGTACAAAAATCACAAGCATTCTTATACACCAACAACAGACAAACAGAGAGCCAAATCATGAGTGAACTCCCATTCACAATTGCTTCAAAGAGAATAAAATACCTCGGAATCCAACTTACAAGGGATGTGAAGGACCTCTTCAAGGAGAACTACAAACCACTGCTCAAGGAAATAAAAGAGGATACAAACAAATGGAAGAACATTCCATGCTCTTGGGTAGGAAGAATCAATATCGTGAAAATGGCCATACTGCCCAAGGTAATTTAGAGATTCAATGTCATCCCCATCAAGCTACCAATGACTTTCTTCACAGAATTGGAAAAAACTACTTTAAAGTTCATATGGAACCAAAAAAGAGCCCGCATCGCCAAGTCAATCCTAAGCCAAAAGAACAAAGCTGGAGGAACCACGCTGCCTGACTTCAAACTATACTACAAGGCTACAGTAACCAAAACAGCATGGTACTGGTACCAAAACACAGATATAGATCAATGGAACAGAACAGAGCCCTCAGAAATAATGCTGCATATCTACAACTATCTGATCTTTGACAAACCTGAGAAAAACAAGCAATGGGGAAAGGATTCCCTATTTAATAAATGGTGCTGGGAAAACTGGCTAGCCATATGTAGAAAGCTGAAACTGGATCCCTTCCTTACACCTTATACAAAAATCAATTCAAGATGGATTAAAGACTTAAACGTTAGACCAGGAATTACTTTTCTAGGTCTAAAGTTATTATCATTTATTTATTTTTCAGCGAAGGGTCTCCTATTATTAGAATGTGTTCCAGAACTAGCGAACAAAAAAAGAAACATAAAACTTCCCATTAGGTCAATGTATTATTTCCTTTCAGATGAATTTTAGAGAAAAGCACATACACATATAAAATTACAGTATTTTTTTTCAATTTCAATGTGGGTTAATTTCTTTTTATAAAGGCTTTCTTCTTGAGTGAATTCTGTTTTATTTATTTTAGTTGTAATCAATCTATGTGTTAATCCTAGTTTAAGATATTCACTCTATTCACATCCATGTTTATAATAAGAGAAACACAATTTAGATTTAACTTTTAGGGATTTGAGTAGGAGGGTATGTAGGGTATGGTGGAAGTATGCTATATCAAATTGAGAAACAGAGAGACAAAAAGCATTTAATAAAATGCGTGCATAAAGGGGTTAGCTAATGGTTCTGTGGGATGGTTAATGGTTTGATGAAGGAGGCACAATATTGTTACATGGTCAGGGATTTGCTTCACCTGAATTCCAAGCAAGTGTAGTATTGGCGCGCATTTTTTTTGAGACAGAGTCTCGCTCTGTCGCCCAGGCTGGAGTGCAGTGGCGTGATCTTGGCTCACTGCAACCTCTGCCTCCTGGATTCCAGTGATTCTCCTACCTCAGCCTCCTGAGTAGCTGGGACTACAGGCGCCTGCCACCACGCCTGGCTAATTTTTTGTATTTTTAGTAGAGACAGGGTTTCACCGTGTTAGCCAGGATGGTCTTGATCTCCTGACCTCATGATCTGCCCACCTTGGCCTCCCAAAGTGCTGACATTACAGGCGTGAGCCACTGCGCCTGGCCCATTGGCATGAATCTTGTGGCAATCCACAGCTGCTTTTTTGGATTAATAGGTAAGCACTGACTTTATTATCAAGCATGTTGAAGGGAGGCAAAGTGTTCTATATCTATAGTTGTTAATGACTCAATACCTGGAGTCTATTTATTCAACAAGTGCATAAGCAAAGACTCATAACATCTTGTGATTAGAGATAAGAACCCTGAAGCAAAAAAGTGACATTTTTGTTTAGTGCATATGAGATGATAATATGGCTCCCACAAGAAGTACAAACCTGTCTAAGCCGGAACTTTTCCAATCAGCATATTAATTAACTATTACTGCATCTTCCTAAGATAGGTGGAACTGGAAACTTGTTAAAATGAACACTATAGTCGTACTAGTTCCTTTTGTCTAAGTATATACGTCATATATAGAGTTTTATTTATTGAGGGCAGATGCAGTCATTGCCAATTAATCCTTTTTGTTATCTTCATAAGTTTCAGTTCTTAGTACCCTTCTGCATTTTATTTTATATAAGTATCTAAAGTAAATAGAATATCACAATTTTTGAAAATATATATGAGTACTCTGTATAATTGTAAATTGATCAAGAATGTTTGTATCTAGGTATATTACATGTTTGTGTAGAAATCTCATGCCTGTGTGTTGCTAGCAGTGACTCTGGGGTACTTCCAGTGGCTCTCTCCCATGGTATATCATGAGGTAACTCTCATTACCATCCTTAATCAACGAACACTCTGAGGTCTGTTTCTGACCGACAGGCTCCAAAACCTGATTCAGTACACTTGCAGAGAGAGTCAGTATTTTTCTGGGGCAGAATCAGATTAGCAAAAGCTCATGAAACCAATGAATAAAAGCAGGATACCATCTATTAGTTTAAAATGGGTAATTATAAATTAGAGAGGAACTGAAATACTCTTCAATTACTGTCTATACAATTAGAGGGCTCTTTCCAGGTAGTCCGGTTACATGGGAAGTATTGATCAATTAAAATAAAACTTATAAAATTATATTGCAAATTATTGTCCCAGAGAGTACAAGTTCCTATGATTAACATATTCTTTTCCTATAGTAGGATCTACGTGGGAAAGTAAACCATAATGAGGAAGTCATCAGTTGGGTTTAGAATCAGGAAAAGTAGTATTAGAAAAATGGAAATCTCAATGGTTCCAGGCTCAGATAGCCTGCTAGGTCCACCTCCCCCAAATGGATCTAAACTTCAAAGTCTATTAATCAAAACCCCTGCATCCAGCTTACGTGAGAGTTGTCCAGGCCTGTGACATTGGAAAAGCTCATTTAGAGATGACCAAAGTTTTCTCTTCCCCAGACAGTGCTAACATTTGTCTTTGTAATTCTCTATTTTGTTAAATTCACTTGATTGATACTTCTTTCTTTTACATGACAAATATTTTGGTAACATTAGAACATTTCAGGCCAGAGAGTTATTCTGTTTAACGGTTTTTTTACCTTTGCTGTGATCTTTCCAGTTTAACTCTGAGGGGCACCTTATTGTAACCCTTTCTCACCCCAGTACTGGTAAGTTAGTATAGCACCTTGATATTATGTTGACATATGGGAAAAACTTAAAACCCTCATTAATTAAAGTCCTGTTTATATTTTTGTTTTCAGCTCAAATGTATGTGAATGTATTTAAGTGCCATGTTTCCAATACACATCTATCTTTTTGTAGTAAACGATAACCTCACTTGGCATTCTCAGAAAATGGCACTTCTAATTGAGGCCTGGGGTATTACTTAAACTTACAATGGCTATCTTTCAAATCCACTATAATTAAAATTCATGACTTTCCTGCAGCTAATGTATACTTTGATTCCATCAAGGTTTTCTCATTTCCATCCTGGCCTAATAAAAAATGTCATCTGCTAAATTACTGGCATGCCTTACTGCATCTGGATCTTCCTTAGTTTCAATACAAACTTTGTCCAAGCACTTAATTTCAGGATGGAGAATTCATGGGAAACATGCCACTACTCCTTACTCTGTTCTCCAAGACAGACATCACTAACTAATTATAGTAGTCCGGCCTCCGGCTAGATGTGGGCTGAATCCAGATGTGGGCTTCTTAACCTTTTGTTTCCAGGTGAGTAGAATTGCTTCCAGTATTAGAGTTGGTGTGCCAGATAACGTTAGCTTTGGGTTCCTTGTCTGTCTTGTGGCATCTGACAAGATTTGTCATTTATTTTGAGTCTAGGGATTTTTTTCTGAAAGTAATTGTCTACTGAAAGTTTTCTGAATCAGGAAAGAACAAGTTTTGTGCGGCTCCCCCAACCTGCCACCTTTATTCTTATGAATCTCCTCCTCAAGACATAAAATTGCCAAATATCATTCATAAAGGCCTGAAAAATAGCGAGGTTTGTTAAGGAATTTGCTCAGTTAGTCCAATTAGTGTCCAAGATTAACATAAACTTTACTGTAAGGTTTTTAAAAACAAAGACAATAGTTTGGTTTTTAAATTAATAAAAAATGTAATATTTCTTATCACAAAATGGATGAAATTCTTAGTATAAATCCATTGTACATGAATGATTTAACTTTGAATTTCTTCCACACTAAATGAAACTCATTTGGTTTAGAAATTCGGAGATAAAATCCTACTGTGAACTTTTAAGAAGTTCATGATTATTTGTTAATACTTCTGTTGCTCTATGATGAAAGTAAATGTGAAACATCAGAATTTTACAGATGATAGATTAAAGTGCTTAAAATTATTGGTGAAAATGTTAGCATTTTAAGAGTGTTTTAACTGCTTCTTCAGTTCATAACCAGGCATTGGTTTAACTCTTTTTGACTGTATATTACTGTACTGGCTGAATTGAGAAAAAAGAGAAGAAAGCTGTATAAGGAGACTCAAAATACTTCCATTTGTGAAAATAGGTAAGTTAGAAGAGTTATTATATTTCTGATGTTCAAACCAGACTTATTTGTATTTTTGGGATCTGAAGGTTGATAAACTTTCAAAAGTCCAAATATCACATTCCTCCAAACTATCCCCATTTTTGAATACACGAGCAGGTTTTGTCCAAAGATGAGTTACTCTTTCTTCTATCTCATTTTCTAGGAGTTAAAACATAGGTATAGTGATGAATACAAGCAGAATTGAGCACAATAAATCTCCTTGAATACAAGTAGATGGTGAACACTATCTGCAATTTTATTTGCAGGGACTATAAAACTAAGGTCAAGAGAGGGGTTTTGCAAATTTTATTCAATTTATCCCTATCCAACTTTTTTCACTGATAATTTTTTTTTTTTACATTTGGAAATAATAATTTTTTTTCCATCTTGAATATTGCCAATGCCAAGGGCAAACCCATACATCTTCTGATAAATAAACTTAGCTTTACTTTTTATGATAGTGATTTTCAAAAGGGAAATAAAATCCCTTCTTTTCCTTATGCAGCTTACTTCCATTTGTTCTTTCTCTACACAACTTTCTAATACTTGCCTCAAGCAGAAATATATGCAAATGGTTCATTGTGGAGCTGACACACAAGTATGAAGAAGTAAAAGAGTAGCCCGGCCAGGCGTGGTGGCTCACGCCTGTAATCCCAGCACTTTGGGAGGCTGAGGCAGGCAGATCACAAGGTCAGGAGATTGAGACCATCCTGGCTAACACAGTGAAGCCTCGTCTCCACTAAAAATACAAAAAATTAGCCCCGTGTGGTGGCAGGTGCCTGTGGTCCCAGCTACTCGGGAGGCTGAGGCAGGAGAATGGCGTGAACCCGGGAGGCGGAGCTTGCAGTGAGCCGAGATGGCGCCACTGCACTCGAGCCTGGGTGACAGAGTGAGACTCCATCTCAAAAAAAAAAAAGTAGCCCATTAAATAGGCCTGCTCTGCTTCAGCCTATGACCTAGCAAGACGAATCTAACATGAAGTAGAAAATATAACTAGATTTGCTTACCTAATTCCTCTACTATTTTGCTTCTACGTTAACTTTAAATAGTAAAATAAAAATAATAATAGAGGTAACTGTTGTCTAAATGGAAAAAAAAATGGTTCCCCGTGGAAATAGGAGAGTTTTACAGGTGAAAAATTTTATTCCCCATGAAAGCTTCTGATCACTTTGCAATGCAAAGGAGGATCCGCTGGAGCACTTCCCTGGTTCTGCCATGAGTTCCTCATGTTACTGCTACTTGTAGAATTGGTTTGTTCCCATTTCTAGATGTGGTTCCATTTAGTTTTTACTACTGTTTCAGAGCTAGAACTTCATATTGGCTTGGCTGATGACTGCCCAATCCCTAGCCTCTTTGCCAGGGTAATTTTTGCCAGCCCTATCATTTTTCACTATTTATTTGGAGAATAAAGTACTTACAGGGTTGAGGACGACAGTGAAGAAAAGTTCTCCTCCTTGGATACTCTTATCCAGCTCTTTAGGACCCCCTGGATATTCTTTGTAGAAAATGGTGTGAGTGAAAAGCCCACAGGTTTGTCTTGGGAGAACCTGAAGGAAAAATGAAAAAAGTAAGGAAAAGCTTTTTTTTTTCCAATCAATTTGTTGAAACTTAGCTTTTTGCTCACACAAGATGATGCACAAGCTAGTGAATTATTCAGGTCTAACCAGGGCCTGGACAATCTATCATACTCTAGGCAAGGGAAGGTGATGTTAATATGGAAGGAATAGTGAAGAAAGTTGAAGAAATATTTTAAAACTAAAATAGGTGTTGTGTTATTTTAGCTACTTGTCTGTTTTAAATATCAAAGTGAGTACTTCTTTTATGAAGCCTAGTAGGTTCTAGCATCTTAAGAGATTAAAAAAAAAGAAGTAAAAATGAGACTTTAAAAAAAGTATTGGATTGTCTGTGCTATACTGTAATCTTAATAGGCAATAATTTTAAGAAAATATTTTCTGCCAAATTCTGCCATGCATTAGAAAATGAAGTCAGTTATCAACTCAATGTGCTTCTTAGGGAATGACATTTTAAATTAGAATGAATATTTGAGACACAAATCACAGTATCTGTTCTCGTCTGAAAGGACTACTGCAGGCTATAGTAATTACCTCAGATTCTAAGTGTGAAGCCTGCCAGTTCCTACTGTAAGAAAGAGATTATTCACTTGGTTTGTTACTTTTAGAAAGTGTAACAACAAAATGATAAAAGGTCATTTAGTAAGAGGTCTTCTCTTCATCCTTTGTATATATGTATTATCTGCTTCAATTATATACACTCGTGATAAGGTTTTTCAAATTTTTATAGCCTTTTGCAATTATAAAAGAAGGTGTGAATTAAAGTTGTGCAAGATAATAAAGCCTTAAGCAGAATATTTTACAATGACTTCATGGTGACCTGTGTTTGTCACTATACATTTGAAGTAGCAGAACATTAATGAGTATACTTCAGAGAGCTACAAATGTTACAAAATCATATAGGGACAGGTCTTCTGCTTATTGTCCTAAGTAAATCAATCTTCATGTTTTATGTCTTGAGTCTTAAAGCACATTTGGTTCAGTAAATGCTTTCAAAATATTACCTGTCCAGGACTTCCCATGTTTTGCAACCCTGTAGAAATATACTAGTGTTTTTATTTTATTTTATTTTATTTTTATTTTTTATTTTAGTTTGAATGTGTATTAAAATAAATTTTCGTCTAGCCCTTGGATAGTATTATATAATACTGGTTATATAATACAACCTATTGTATAATCTAGTCCTTGGACAGACAGCTCAATCAGTATATCTGCATAAATAAAAACTCTATATATCCTATTTATTTTGGTAAGTTGGTAGAAGTTATATCCTTAGAAGCTATTTTATCTTAATAAAATAGTTAAAAAACTTCTGTTTAAGTATAAAATATTAGCTCTGATGATGTCTATGTTTAAAAGCATTATGCATCCTCATGATCCTATCTATACACAAAAATAATAACAAAAAACAACTAAATGCAAATGCATTCTAATGGAATTAAATATATTTCCTAACAACTATTATAAATGTAATATTTGGAAATTAAAAATGAAATTTTGAATTTGGAAAGCATTTGGAATAAATACTTTATATAGTATTTATTCATTTATTTAACAAATATTTATTCTAAACTCTATGCTAGCCCACAGAATAGATTTAGTTAAGTGCTAGTGGAACTAGCTATGGACTGTATGTTAATAGGTTGCATGGAGTTAGTTTTATGCTAGAATACTAGATCCATATCCTAGTTCCATGCCAGCCCATGTGAGAGAACAGAAAGATATATGTTTTCTACTCTTGAAGGATTTAAGCTATATTGGGGTAATGGGAAAGACCCAAAAGCTACATAATAAAATGCTCACGTGTTAAATGGCATTTAACATTTTAAAAGTGTATGACTATGACTGAATCACTTCTAGGGTTCAGTTTGAATATTTTGCTTGGAAAATTATAGGATATATACAGAGCCATCTTTGGGACTTGATTGCCTAGCTGATTCTGTGCAAAACGAAGAGAGAAGCAAAAAGATATTTGAATTTTGTCTATTTCTCAAATTATTTGAATTTCAATGCAGTGAAGAGGAAGTGGCAGGCTTTACCCTGCAACTGCAGGAGCACTACTCCTGCTGAGGGTATGAACCCCATAGAGAGCCCTAGCGGGAGTCAGTGGACCACTACAGGAGGCTAAGGAGATGATCAGGAGTGTGATAAGGGTCATATTCCACTGCCTTGCTCCATAAATGCAGTGGCACCGAATGATGAGCATGTTCCTTGAAACAGCTTTCTTATGCTACGGAAAGGATGAGAAACATTTTTAGGCATTCTGCTGTGGACTGCCCCCTAGAATTGGTTCTGGGAATGTAACAGTATCAAAGTCAAACTTTGAGATGCCGATGAACCCCTGAGAACCCTATTGCTGCTGAAAATAGCTAGGAGTTTATTATGAAAGCCATGATCAACAAGAATCTTGGCCAATGTGGACTGAAGTCAATATCCTGTACCTAAGGCTCATTCAGGAGCAACTGCCAACAAATACTTCTGGGGAGATACCAATAAAGACCACTTAGAGGGTTTACAGCAGGATTAATGAGTCTCTACCAATGGGCATTTCCATTAAAAACAGTAAGTAGATAGGATGTGTAGTCTAATTTTTTAGAGGTCTCTGGCTGATATGGTTAGGGTTTGTGTCCTCACTCAAATCTCATTTTAAATTGTAATCCCCATAATACTCATATGTCAAGGGAGAGACCAGGTGGAGGTAACTGAATCATGGGGACAGTTTCCCACATGCTGTTCTTGTGATAGCGAGTGAGTTCTCACAAGACCTGATGATTTTATAAGGGGCTCTTCCCGGTTTGCTCTGCACTTCTCCTTCCTGTTGCTTTGTGAAGAAGGTGCTTTGCTTCCCCTTTGCCTTCTGCCATGATTGTAAGTTTCTTGAGGTCTCCCCAGCCATGCTGAACTATGAGTCCATTAAACCTCTTTCCTTTATAAATTACCCAGTCTTGGGTATTTACTCATAGCAATGTGAGAATGGACTAATATACTGGTTCTTTCCAGAGAGTCATATTCAACAACCAGAGATTAGAGTAGAGAGTGCTGGTTTCCATCAGGTCTTGGCTGAAGGAAAATGACTCAGTTGAAAATGCAATAAAACTAGGGGTCCAGAGACTTTGGTTAGGGCTCAAACAGCTTAAAGTGTAATTGGTGTTTATGTTCCTGATGAAAATACAAAATGATGTGTTGTAGGAATTCAGAGGAGAATAAGATCCCTGTAGGTATGAGTTAGGTATTGAGTTGCTATATACTAAGGTGCTTTGTTTTCAATTATTTAAGATATGGGATTTGATATTGAAGAATAAAGGGAATAGAAATAGGTAGATAGTGGCCAGAAAGTCTCTCAAGGTGGAAAGAATGACACAGGCATGGTAACAGCAATACTATTATGGGGTTTGGTTGGAGTGAGTGTGCTTCAGCCATAGGGAAATAGGAAATAGAAAGGTAGACAGTCCAGATGGTTTTCAGGTACCTGAAGGGCACATTAGGGGATATGGAAGCAACTGGAACTAATCAAGGTTAGGAAGGCCAGGATAAAGGCAGCATTTTAGAAAGATTAAAAGGTTGGCACTGTCTATGGGATAGACTGCAGTGAGGTGGTGGATGGAACCTGTAAATAGATAAAGTAGGAAGCAGCACCAGGTTCACACATGAAAGTCAAGGAAGTAAATTAAGATGGTGGCAGTGGGAAAGGAAATAAAAAAGATATAAAGGAATTATTGATGAAATATAGACACTGATTGGAAGTGGTGGTAGGGGGATAGAATGATGTTTGAATTACAGAACTGAATTAAGGATAATGGCACAATCAATAGCCGGTTCGAAGGGAAGATAATGAGACCTTTTGAGTTGGATTTGGGAATGGATCATCAGAAAAAAGTTGCTCTCATACAGCAAAATAAGAGTGTGATCTAAAGTTCACTCCTCAGTTCCCTATTTCTAGATGCATTCTCTCCCTAGGAGGGCATATTGGCTCCTGTGGTCTCTACTTGCTTCTCTATTTGGATGGCTCCTAGTCTTATTTTCTCTCGCTTATTGTGTAATCAACTGTCTGCTGAACATTTCCCACTTGGAAACTCTCATCCAAGAGCCCACAAGCCAAATATAGGTTTCCACAGATTGCTGCAAAAGCAGATCCACAGGGACAGTTCCATCAAAACAGGAAATCTGTTAGAGCCTTGATTACCTGCATGATTCATGCATTTATAATACAGATAAAAATGTGTTTTCAGGAGAAATGAAAAAATATATCCCAGGTCTTCTAAACTCCCTCTGGTCAGAATTCTGGCAGCTTGAGCCACAGTAGGTTCATTTTCAGTACAGAGGAAGGGCAGATTGGGATAAAATGTGGCCATTATGTCCCCGTCTAGCATTTACAACAGTTTTTATTGAGGGAAAAGTCAAGATGGGAGATGATCTAAGCTATATGTCTATCCACTCTGTAATTTTTGCAGACATTGAAAAACTCTCTGAAAAGAAGTCAGTTATAACCTAATTCTAAAGGGTAAACATCTCTTCAGACATATCAGTTCAACAGAGTGTTACGGTGGCTCATCACATAGTGTTCTTCTGTGGTGTTTCTTCCCAGTGTGTGATTCTAAATTAGGAGGCCCATTCCTAGCTTTACCAGGACTTTCTTAGGATTTTCTGATTTGGGAATAAATTAGGATTTAATTGCTTACTTTGGGAGGTAGTAGCATATTTTGACAATATACATTTGCTGAAATTGTAAAAAACAAAACAGAGAAGCCCAGGATAGAATTAGATGGTGTATGCAAATGATTTAATTAGCATCACCTGTCATTTTTACTCTATATTATTATATGTTAATGATTATGCAGGGCTTCACATGTGGCTTCTGGCTGCAAATGGTTGAGTTCTTTTTTAGCCTGGCATGGTAAATAGAAGAACACAGTTTGACTGGCTTGTCAAAGAGCAGCATGGTTAATATAGACAGAGTTGGTGTTAGTTTTTCATACTGAATAACATTTTGAAGAAGTGATGTCTACTAAAAATTATCTGCAAGTTAAATGTAATTTTTTTTTAGTATTTTAACATCAGTGCCTGCTTACCAGTGGTAATGTCAGTAACAAAACCTTTTTCAGTTATATTTGAAGAATTGAAAAGAAGTGATTTTAATTAAAACATTTTCTGCTTAGATATGACAAATATGCTTCCTGCAGCATGGAGCTTTTCCTACATTTATGCTGCTAACATTTGTGTTTTTCTTTCTTCAAGTGAGGAATGAAATCTTGCAGAATTAGTTGTACCCTATGCATACTGGAGGAAGCTCACCATGATGTTTTTGTGGATAAAACCCCTCCGGTATCTAGCTGGCTTCAGATGTGGATATTCTTCAGTGCTGGTGATTTTAATATTCCAGACCTTCTTCCAGGCCTCATAAAGCTGAACATGTACAGGGTAGACGCCCGAATGGTGAGGGGCCACAGCGTAGCCCATGTCCGTTGGAATGCCGTGCTCCTAAGACCAAGCAAATGTTAATTGGAGCGTGTAAAGATTTATCTTGATCCTATTTTTACAGTAAGATTTTCAAATGTACTGTAAATATATATATTTAAATGCATCATTACTTAATTGTGTGGTAAAATTAAAGTGATATAAGTATTAACACCTCTAGACGTCATGAAGCCTGTTAGCCATTTCACCAGTCCTTATGTTGATGCATCTGTGTTTGAGGGGTGGTGAGACAGATCTAGTGATTTTAATGAATAATTTGAAAGAGCCTCTATTTTGCACATCCTTGTCGTAGCCACCTGTTTTCCTATTGCCCATACGTCAACAAGTTAAATGTTAGACACTTATTACAAACAAAACTAAGCACTTCCCGCAAAATAAAACCAATGTTTATTAGAGGAACAGAACACCTTCCAAGTTCATTAGGCTGCTGTTAAGATTTTATTTTGTCTGCTCTACAGTTTCTACCAAGTTTTCCACATTTCTGTTGTCCTTTCAGCATGTGGGCCAGCAGTAACAACGTTCCCTGCCTTAGGAGAAGCACACACTTTTGATTGGATAATGTGGTAAAATTCAACAGAGTAATTTTTTTTGAAGTAGAAGCCCTTATAGTGAAAGTTGAAGGTACTGAAACAGCCAAATATTCTGGGAACTTAGTTGATTTGAAGTCAAGCTCTTGTACATAAAATGACTCCAGTTAAAAAAAAAAAGGCATAGAGGAAAATTACACAGTAATACAAAATGAAACGTGTCTTTTAGAAATAGAACACCCATGGCTTCAGTAGTTGACAGGTATTTTTTTCTCCAAAGTTATTTTTTATTTTTCTGTTTATATTTTTCAATTGCTTGGAAAAAATCTTCAAAAATTCCACTCAAATAGGTTCTTTTAAATTAATGACTGTCTTCATGCCAAATAACAGTTTCACATACACAGAATCATAGTATCAGGCTGCTAAATGGTTTAAATTGCAGAAATATGCAGCCAACTGATATGGAAAAAGTTAGAGGTATGGTTAGCTTTGTTTTTAAACCTAAATAAGAACAGGAGGGGAAGAAAGTATATGAAGTGCCTGAATGCAGAAAGAAAACAGCTTGCCAGTGGTTTGCCATTACCTAAATACTTGTTCAAATTCCTTGATACAGCATAAAAGGCCCTCAAAATTTGGTCCCAACCTACCTATATAGCCTCATCTTCTATCAGCACTCATCGCCCCAATTTCTGATGATTTCCTTCATGTCATTGCTGTATACTGTACACACTGTCTTCCTCAATTGGAATGCCCTTTTCTTATCTCGTAAACTCTGTTTATTGTTCAAAACTCAGTTCCGTCAGCTGTAGTTGAGGATGCCAAAAACGGGAGCCACTATCTTGCTACTGTGAGAAAGAGGATGGGTGGTATTGGAGGTTGAGTGGACCATTCCTGTGTTTCTGAAGGGTGAGAGGTAAAGTTTCATATTCTTCATTTTATTTGCATCATTTGCAGAAATTACCATAACTACATAACCATCATATTTAGAACTCCACTAAAAATTGAATTGAAATATCTCATTGCTTTTTTCGTACTGGTTTTTAAAAACTCAAACTAAACTAATTTTTTCCCACTAGACATCCCTTATCAACACATAATTTGTGCTCAACTAAAGTGATTGAAGGCTAGGGGTATGGTGATAAAGACCAGATGAAGAAAAATGAATTCATATCACAAACATTAAAAAATGAATTATAGGTTAACAACTTTAAAAAATGTGCTGAAGTAACTTTATTATTTCTGGTGGTTGTTAAATAGTATTCTTTTATTTTAAATTTCAACTTTTAGATACAGGGGTGCATGTGCAGGTTTGTTACATGGAAATGTTATGTGGTGCTGAGGAGGTTAACAACTTTTTGAAGAGTGTGGGAAGAAATACACAATGACAAGAGCTATGTTATAAAATTCAAGCATCTGCAAATTTGTAAGAAATTATGCTGTTCAAAAGCTCAAGGTAGTTTTCAATAACGGCGAGTAGTCAGCTGTGTCTTCAGAACCCACATGGCATGAAAGGATGGCCCAGCATAGCAGAGACATTTCCCTTATTTTGGATTTAAAAATATTTGGCAACCAATGTATATACAGTTTTTACTTTTTTTTCCTAGCTTTAACACTAAAAACTACTGCAATTTTTAATTAATTAGTTAATTTATTGAGACGGGATCTCACTGTTTCCCAGGCTGGTGTACAGTGGTGGTGATCATAGCTTACTGCATCCTCGACCTCCTGGGCTCAAGCAATCCTCCTGCAGTAGTTAGGACTACAAATGCACACCAGCACACCTGACTAAATGGGTTTTTTAGTTTCATCTTTTATTTGTGTGCTGGTGCAGTGTGGCATAGTAGCAGAAAACATCGCTTCTGGAATCAGACGTATCTGGCTGTTCATGCTCTCATTCACCAACTGCATGGCTTTTGGCAAATGACCTATGAGCTCTAAGCCTTGTTTCCTGTTCTCTAAAATGCTAGTCATAAGGGCATTACCTCAAAGGGGTTCAGAGGTAATTTTGGAAGATAGTATAGTTCTGGAAACATGATATGCATTTAATGGATTTTTAAAATTATTGTTGTCATTACTACCCTGCCTCTATTGTTTTTAGATGCTATGATCCTACCACTCAAGTATAATGTGGAAATTATGAAACTACTGGGCCACTTATTTTCCACTAAAAGAGACAGACTGTATTTTCTACTTTCACTGTAGATTTTGGGATTCTTTCTCATGAGACTCCTGTGGTGAACTCTGACTTCTACCCCACTACCCCTTCCTAAGCCTGCTTCTCTTCTGATTCCTCCAAATATGCTCAGCCACTGCCGAGTAGTTCCAGCTTGTGAGTCATTCAGTTAGTAGGGGGCTGCTTTTAAATTCATTTTAGAAGAAGGCAACATAAATTTGCTCCCAAATTTGCATTCATCACCAGAGAGAACACCTGAAACGTTATTGTATAGAAAAGTTTGGGTTAAGATTGCAGGTAGTGTGATCCGGAAGGCAGACTATCAGGTTTTAAAAGCTTTAGCCATCATGCTAAATTTTTGGCTGATTACTCTCCTCTGGATTGTTCGATTTGAGATTAAGCACATATTATTTTTTAATCTGTGGCAAAAAGTCTACCTTAAAAGTTAATTCTAATTAGTCTTTTCATTGATCCTTGATTGAAAGTAGCATCTTAGATCTAGGAACTCTGAAATCTATGTTAAGATTTTTCTAGTGGAGGACATGGTTCAAAAACACTGAGGAATCTGGCTATGTAACTATAAAACGTAAATGAAGTATTTGGATCACAAGTGGAATTAATAGTCTTAATAGTTGAACTCATGATTTCCACATCTCAGCCCTACCAGATATTCTCTTTCTGCAGGGTTTCTCCATGTCATTAAATGACACCATCAACCAACAAGTTGCTGTGTTGAAAGATAGATAGTTTTGACACCTCCTCTTTCCTCTTTTCTAAATTTAGTCCACTGTCATGTCCTATCAGTACTATCTCTGGTATATATCTTAAATTTAGCTACTTTTCTTCAATTCTATCATTATCATCACCCTAGTCGAATCTACCATCTTATCCCATTGCCTTTTGGCATAGAATCGCATTCCCTCTCTTGCTTCCTTCCAATACATTCCCTGCAAAGTAATATTTAAAAGATACAAATATGATTATGTGACTGTCTACTCAAAATCTTTCCCTGATTTCCCTTTCCACTTAAATTACAAAATTCTTAGCATGATCGCAAGCGCTGCATATGATCCTTGCTTCTTTGTCTAGCCTTATCTTGTGCCACCCTCCATCCTTCACTGAATTTTAGTCACATGAAACTTTCCCTGAAACTCACCAAGCACTTTTCTACCTCAGCATCTTCCTATATGTGGTTTCTTCCCCTGAAATGTTTCTACTCCAAATCTTCACCTGGATAAATCTGAAGGTAATTTATTCTGTCATATCTTTGGAGAAGACTTTACTGACAAGTGCCAATCTAAATGAAGTCGACATTAAAACTTCTCTTAGTAGCTTTCCTTGGTTTTTCATAGTACACAGCACAGTTTGTAAGCATGTATTTTTTTGCATAGAAAAGACATTTATGTAATATCTCTCTTTTTCATTAAACAATAAGGTTCATGAAATTTAGGTTCCATTTTATCCACTGCGATATACTCAGTGTCTTGCCAATGGCAAGTACTCAACAAATACTAGTGAAAAAGTATGATCTGATTCTGACTACCTCCTTCTCATTCCAATTTTCACTTTCTCAATTATCTTCATTACACTGCCTGTTCGTCTGAAGAATAAACATATGGTAACTATCAGGGAAATTTTAATATCTATGTAAATAATACTTGAAAGCAATTTTTAGACTGCAGTTAAAAATTATGAGGGCAGAGCAAAATGGCAGAATAGAACCCTATACCATTTGTACCCCCTGCAGGAAGGCCAAATTTTAACAACTATCTGCATACAGAAAAGCACCATCAGAAGAACAAAAAATCAGGTAAGCAATCGCAGTACCTCGTTTTATCTTCATAAAAGTTAATGAAAATGGCATTGAGGAGGG
Organism: Homo sapiens; assembly: GCF_000001405.40. Taxonomy (NCBI): domain Eukaryota; kingdom Metazoa; phylum Chordata; class Mammalia; order Primates; family Hominidae; genus Homo; species Homo sapiens. The sequence goes on along the minus strand of NC_000004.12, from coordinate 118,133,483 downwards.
TTGGAGAGACAGTCTTGAATCGCCAATGCCACCTTTCCCCTATCTCCCGGCAGTGGCCATGAAGTGCGGAGGGTCTATTTATGTGGGGGAGGGAGAGCACAGTGACAGGGGGACTTTACATTGAACTCAGTACTACCCTGTCATAGCAGAGAGCAAATCCATGCTCTGCTCAGGCTTTGCTCACACATGGAGGGATCATTTGGACCAGACTTAGCCAAGGGGAAGTTATGCATGTCATCAGTTAGAGCTTGAGTTTCTTGTCAAGTCTTGCCACCATGGGCCAACATGCTCTAAGGTCCTTGGTAAACTTGAAAGACAGTCTAGCACACAAGGACTTCAATTCCTAGGCAACTCCTAGTGCTGGATTGGGATTAGAGCCAGTGGACTAGGGTGGCATGTGACCTAGGGAGACACTAGCCAGAGCAGCTAAAGGATTGCTTGCGCCACTCCTCCCCCAATCCCAGGAAGTGCAACTCACAGCAATGAAAGTGCGTCCTTCCTTCTGTTTAAGGCGAGGAGAGCAAAGAGTAAAGAGGACGTTGTCTTGCATCTTGGATACCGGCTCAGCTACAGTAGGAGAGGGCACCAGGCAGTCATGAGGCCCCCATTCCAGGCCCTAGCTCCTGGAGAGAATATTTCTTGACATACTCTAGGACAAAAGGGAACCCATTGTCTTGAAGAGAAAGATCCAGTCTTGGAAGGATTTATCACCTGCTGATTAAAGAGCCCTCGGACCCTGAATAACCATCAGTGATAGCCAGGGAGTATGCTGTGAGCCTTGGGCACTTGGGACGCACTTACTACATGTGTGACCCAGCACATTCCCAGCAGTGGTGACTATGGTGAAAGACTCCTGCTTGAGAAAAGCATAGGGAAAAGTAAAGGGGACTTTGTTTTGCACCTTATGTACCAGCTTGGCCACAGTGGGGTAGAGCAACAAGCAGGCTCTTGGGGTCTCTGAGTCCAGGCCTAGGCTCTTGAACAGCATTTCCGGACCTTCTGTGGGTCAGAGGGGAACCCACTGTGCAGAGGGTGAATCCCAGGCCAGGCAGCATTCACCACAAGCTGACAGAAGAACCCTTGGGCTTAAGTGAAAATTGCCGGTGGCCTGACAGAACCCTGCCAAGGGCTGCTGGTGGTGGTGCTCAGAGGGAGAGGCTCTTCTCCCTGTGGAAAGGGGAAGGAAGAGCAGGAAGTACTTTATAGTATGGTTTTAGTACTAGCTTAGCCATAGTAGAACAGAATGTCAGGCAAATTTCTAATGTTTTTCACTCTAATCCTTGGCTCCCAGACAGCATCTCTGGACCTGCCTGGGGCCTGGAGGAACTTGCCGCTCTGAAGGGAAGGACACAAACTTGGCTGGCTTTGCCACCTGCTGATTGTAGTGGCCTAGGGCCTTGAGTGAACATAGGTGGTAGCCAGGTAGTAGTTATAGTGGGCCTTGGACAAGACTCAGTGCTGTGCTGACTGAGTCTTTAGGCCTGACCCAGTGCAGTCCCAGTTATAGTGGCCATAGGGGTGTTTGCATCATCATAATCCCAGTTCCAGGCAGCTCAGCACAGAGAAAGAGACTCTGTTTGTTTGGGAGAAACTAAGGGAAATGAACAAGAATCTCTGCCTATTAATCCAGAGCCTTCTTCTAGATCTTCTCCAAGACCACCAAGATGGTACCTCTACGAGTCTGCAAGGACCACAGTGATATTGGGCTTGGGAACCAAGCAGCTTCAAATATCTGAAAAGCCTTCCCAAGGACAAGCACAAACAAGCCCAGACTGCAAAGTCTATAGTAAATACCTAACTATTCTATGCCCAGACACAGATGAACATCTACAAGCATCAAGATGATCCAGGAAAATGACCTCACCAAATGAACTAAATAAGGCATCAGAGACCAATACTGGAGAAATAAGGATGTGTGACCTTTCAGACAGAGAATTCAAAATGGCCATTTTGAGGAAACTCAAAGAAATTCAAGATTAACAGAGATAAGGAATTCAGAATTCTATCAGATTAATTTTACAAAGAGATTGAAATAATGAGAAAGAATCAAGCAGAAATTCTAGAGTTGAAAATTGCAATTGACATACTGAAGAATGCATCAGAGTCACTTAATAGCAGAATTGATCAAGCAGAAGAAAGAATCAGTGAACTTGAAGACAGCCTATTTGAAAATACACAATCATAAGAGACAAAAGAAAACCAAACCAAACCAAACCAAACCAAACCAAAACAACATAGCACACCTATAAGATCTAGAAAATAGCCTCCAAAGGGCAAATCTCAGAGATATTGGTTTTAAAGAAGAAGTAGAGAAACAGATAAGGGTAAAAAGTTTATTCAAAGGAATAACAGAAAACCTCCCAAACCTGGAGAAAGAGATCAACATTCGAGTACAAGAAGGTTATGGAGCACCAAGCAGATTAACTCAAAGAAGACTAACTCAAGGCATCTAATAATCAAACTCCCAAGAGTCAAAGACAAAGACAGAATCCTAAATGCAGCAAGAGAAAAGTAACAAATAACATTCAATGGACCTCCAATACATCTGAAAGCAGACTTTTCAGTGGAAGCCTGACAGGCCAGGAGAGGGTGGCAAGACATGTTTAAAGTGCTGAAGGAAAAGAACTTTTATGCTAGAATAGTATATCTGGTGGAAATATTCTTCAAGCATGAAGGAGAAATAAAGACTTTCCCAGACAAACAAAAGCTGAGGAATTTCATCAACACCAGACCTGTCTTATAAGAAATGCTAAAGGGAGTTTTTCAATCTGAAAGAAAATGATATTAATGAGCAAGAAGAAATTGTCTGAAGGTAAAAATACTGGTACACTGGTAATAGTAGGCACACAGAGAAACACAGACTATGATAACATTGTAATGGTGGTGTGTAAACTTCTCTTATCTTAAGTAGAAAGACTAAATGATGAACCAATCAAAAGTAATAACTACAAAAACTTTTCAAGATATAAACAGTACAACAAGACATAAGGAACAACAAAAAATTAAAAAGTGAGTTGATGAAATTAAAGTGTAGAGTTTTCTTTCTGTGTTTATGCAATCAGTGTTAAGTTGTCTTCAGTTTAAAATAATGAGTTACAAGACAGTATTTACTAGTCTCATGATAGCCTCAAATCAAAAAACACAACAGAAACAAGCAAGAAGTTAAAGCACAAGAGAAAATTATCTTCACTGAAAGGAAGACAGGAAGGAAGAAAAGAAAAGAGAGACGACCCCAAAACAACCAGAAAACAAATAACAAAGTGGCAGGAGTAAGTTTCTACACGTAAATAATCACATTAAATATAAGTGAACTAAACTCTCTGATCAAAAGACACAGAGTGGCCAAATGGATGAAAATACAAGACTCTATGATCTGTTGCCCACAAGAAACACACTTCACTTATAAAGATACACATAGACTGAAAATAAAGGGATGTGAAAAGATATTCCATGCCAATTGAAACAAAAAATGAACAGGAGTAGTTATCCTTATATCAAACAAAATAGATTTGAAAACAAACACTGTGAGAAGAGACAAAGAAGGTCACTATATAATGATAAAGGAGTCAACCCCGTAATAGTATATAACAATTTAAAATATATATGCACCCAACTCTGGAGCACACAGCTATATAAAAAAATATTATTAGAGCTAAAGAGAGAGATAGACCCCAGTACAATAATAGCTGGAGATTTCAACACTCCACTTTCAGCATTGGACAGATGTCCCAGACAGGAACTCAACAAAAAATATTGGACTTAATCAGCACTATACAACAAATGAATCTAATATATATTTATGGAACATTTCAACCAAAGGCTACAGAATACACATTCTTTTTCTCAGCACATGGATCATTTTCAAGGATAGACCATATGTTAGGTCATAAAACAAGTGTTAAAACATTTACACAAATCTAAACAATATCAAACGTCTTCTCTGACAACAATGGAATAAAACTAGAAATCAACAAGAGGAATTTTGGAAACTATACAAACTCAATGGAAATTAAACAATATGCTCTTGAATGATCAGTGGGTCAATGAAAAAATTAAGATGGAAATTGAAAAACTTTCTGGAAAAGAAATGATAATGGAAACATAACATACCAAAACCTATGGGATACAGCAAAAACAGCACTAAGAGGAAAGTTTATAGCTGTAAGTGCCTACATCAAAAAAGAAAAAACCTTCAAATAAATAATCTAACAATGCATCTTAAAGAACTAGAAAAGCAAGTGCAAACTGAACCCAAAAATAATAGGAGAAAAGAAATAATAAAGATCAAAGCAGAAGTAAACGAAATTGAAATGAAGAAAACAATACAAAAAAGTCAATGAAACAAAAAGGATTTTTCTAAGATAAACAAAATCAGCAAACCATTAGCCAGATTAACAAAGAAAAAAAAGGATGAGGACCCAAATAAATAAAATCAGATATGAAAAAGGAAACACTACAACTGATACTGCCGAAATTCAAAGGATCAGTAGTGGCTACTATCAGCAACTATATGCCAACAAGTTGGAAAATTTACAGGAAATGAATAAATTCCTTGGCACATACAACCTACCAAAATTGAACCATGAAGAAATCCAAAACTTGAAAAGACCAATAATAAGTAATAAGATTGAAGACATAATAAAACGTCTCCCAGTAAAGAAACACCTAGGACTTGATGGCTACACTGCTGATTTCTACCAAACATTTAAAGAAGAACTAACAGCAATCCTACTGAAACTATTCCAAAATATAGAGGAGGAGGGAATACTTCTAAGCTCATTCTATGAGGCCAGTATTATCCTGATACCGAAACCAGATAAAGACACATCAAAAAAAGAAAACTACAGGCCAACATCTGTGATGAATCCTGATGCAAAAATTCTCAATAAAATTCTAACAATGCAAATCCAACAATACATTAAAAAGATCGTTTATCATGACCAAGTGAGACTTGTCCTTGGGATGTGAGGATGGTTCAATATACACAAATCAATCAATATGATACATCATATCAACAGAATGAAGGACAAAAATCATACAATCATTTCAATTCATGCTGAAAAAGCATTTGATAAAATTGAACATCCCTTCATGATAAAAAACCCTCAACAAACTTGGTATAGAAGGTACATACCTCACCATAATAAAATCCATCTATGACAGACCCAAAGCTGGTGTCATACTGAATTGGGAAAAACTGAAAGGCTTTCCTCTAAGATCTGGAAGACAACAAGGATGCCCACTGTCACCACTGTTATTCAACATAGCACTGGAAGTCGTAGCTAGAGCAATCAGAAAAGAGAAAGAAATGAAGGGCATTCAAGCTGGAAAAGAAACAGTTAAATTATCCTTGTTTCCAAATGATATAATCTTATATTTGGAAAAACCTAAAGACTCCACCAAAAAACTATTAGAACTGATAAACAAATTCAGTAAAATTCAAGATACAAGATCAACATACAAAAGCCAGTAACATTTCTATATGCCAATGGTGAACAATGTAAAAAACAAGTCAAAATGTAATCTCATTTATAGTAGCCACAAATAAAATTAACTACCTAGGAATTAACCAAAAAGTGAAAGATCTCTACAATGAAAACTATAAAACACTGATGAAAGACATTAAAGAGTACACCAAAAAAATAAAAAGATATTCTATGTTCATGGATGAGAAGAATCAATATTGTTAAAATGTCCATACTAAACAAAGCAATCTACAGATTCAATGAAATCTTTATCAAAATGCCAATGATATTTTTCACAAAATATACAATATAATCCAAAAATTTATATGGAACCACAGAAGATCCAGAATAGCCAAAGCTATCCTGAACAAAAAGAACAAAATTGGAAGAATCACATTACCTGATTTCACGTTATACTAAGGAGTTATGGTAACCAAAACAGCATGCTACTGGCATATAGGCAGATACATAGACCAATGGAATAGAACAAAGAACCCAGCAACAAATTAATACTCCTACAGTGAACTCATTTTTGACAAAGGTGCCAAGAACATACATTGGAGAAAGGACAATCTCTTCAACAAATGGTGCTTGAAAAACTAGATTTCCATATGCAGAAAAATTAAGCTGAACCCCTGTCTATCACCATATACAAAAATCAAACCAATATATTAAAGACTTAAACATAAGACCTCAAACTATGAAACTACTATAAGAAAACATGGGGGAAACTCTCCAAGACATTGGTCTTGGCAAAAATGTCTTGGGTAATACCCCACAAGCACAGGCAACCAACAAAAAATGGACAGATGGGATCACATCGAGTTAAAATGCTTCTACACAGCAAACAAAACATTCAACAAAGTGAAGAGACAACCCACAGAATGGGAGAAAATATTTGCAAACTCCCCATCTGACAAGAGATTAATAACCAGAATATATAAGAAACTCAAACAACTCTATAGTAAAAAATCTCGTAATCTGAATAACTAATGGACAAAGGGCTTGAATAGACATTTCTCAAAAGAATACATACAAATGGCAAACAGGCATATGAAAAGGTGCTCAACATCACTGATCATCAGAGAAATGCAAATCAAAACTATAATGAGATGTCATCTCACCCCAGTTAAAATGGCTTTTCTCCAAAAAGACAGGCAACAACAAATGCTGGAGAGATGTAGAGAAAAGAAAACCGTTATACGCTGTTGGTGGGGATGTAAATTAGTACAACCACTATGGAGAACAGTTTGGAGGTTTCTCAAAAAACTAAAATTAGAACTACCATATGATCCAGCAATCCCACTGCTGAGTATATACCCAAAAGAAAGGAAATCAGTGTATCAAAGAGATATCTGCACTCTCATGTTCGTTGCAGCACTGTTTACAATAGCCAGGATTTGGAAGCAACCAGTGTATATTAACAGATGAATAGATAAAGAAAGTGAGGTATATTATGAGGTGTATATATATATATATATGTGTATATATATATATATATATACACATACATACACACAGTATAATAGTACACAGTGGTGTACTATTCAGCCATAAAAAAGAATGGGATTCAGTTACCTGCAACAATATAGATGGAAGTGGAGGTCATTATGTTAAGTGAAATAACCAAGACACAGAAAGACAAACATCACATGTTCTCACTTATTTGTGATATATAAAACTCGAAACAATTGAACACGTGGAGATAGAGAGTCGAAGGATGGCTACCAGAAACTGGGTAGGATAGTAGATGTTGCAGGGGAGGTGGGCATGATTAATGAGCACAAAATATAATTAGAAAGCATGAATAATATGTACTATTTGATAGCACAACAGGATGATTATAGTCAAAATTATATAATTATTTGAATTTGTGAAGCATTTTCAAGCTTCTAATGATGATTTGTTTTCCTAAGGTGACACTGATGGGCTACACCACAATTCAGCTTATAAGAACCTGTGGAACCTCTGGCACCTGTGGAAGGAGTCCTGTAGTAGCCGCAATCACTGGAAGAAAGTAAGAAATGGTATGGATGTTGGCAGAGTGGCCCAATATATGTAAAGTTGCTATTCAAAGGAAGCTGACTGTCTTCTTAGCCTACAACAAAATAAGGCAAGTCAGGATCATTAGATTAGGGAATTTAGATTTGGTACTACATGCAAAGATTATTAAATGTTAGACTATGTTCCTGTGATAAATGATAATATTTCTGGTATGGTTTGAAATGAAAAATCTTGAAAGAATTAATTACCTTAAGCACAGGAATCTGATTTTTCATTTTCTAAAAAATTGTAAAATAAAGGGGTTGTACAAGTAGTCACTAAAGTCCAGGTTTATAATTCTGTGTTTCTTTGACATAATCTTTGTGGTTTTAGAAATGATTTTATATTCAGATGCTAAATACGAATGTACTATTTTTAATCCATGAACAAACTTAAACTCCCATATACAATTTTCTTTCTACATACTTAAGGATGGAATAATCTCCTAAAATATGATAGACACAGTTACATAAATTTGGTTAATATTTATAGATTTGACCACTAACTATTTCTCTAGTTTTCTTACATGGTGCTCCTTGATTTATAATATAAATTTTGGTTTGCTGGGTGGTATGTGAAAAAAATTTCTGTGATGACAATGTTGTTTTTAGTAGATTTGTTTTAAGGGTTCAAGAATCATCCCCTGTTGGCAGCTGTTGTATTAATAAAGAATTTGTCTGGTCTTCCTTATCCCTGATTCCTGGGAGATAACTCCTAACTCTGTGGAATTTCCTGAGTGATAGAAATGTCTTTGTTATTTATGGTGATACCCTGAAATTATATTTGAGTTTATGCTAACAAGATGACTCAGGATGAAGGTTAGTCATGCCAGGAAGTCCCACCATGTAATTAGAGAATGAGAGCTTTGAGCAAGGTGATATCAGCCTGATCTTAGGGTAGGCGAGAGGAGTTGGAAATTGAGTTCAATCATGTGGCCAATAATACAATCAAACATGCCTATATAATGAAACCCTCATAAAAAAATCTGGAACTTGAGGTTTAGGTGAGTCTCTCTGGGTAGTGATATTCCTATGGATCCAGAAACCTGAGGAAGGAGATATTCTTTGTCTCACAAGATAGCAAAAAATATGGCTATAAAATAAAAGTAACAAAAGTCTTTGGATAAAAGTGTTAAAGGTGTTAATAATGAGATCTTGTAAAACTGAATGGCATTATAGCAACTTATAAAACAGAAGTGTCACCTTATCACTCTGGAGTTACTCATCTCCGGAAAAGAGATGAGTGTATGGTGTTTAATTTAGTATACAGTAAGAAAAGAGTCTTATTCTTTCAATATCTCAAAATAGCCAAACCCATGACAATGAAATTTTCCTTGTACCAGGAATCCTAGGGATAGAGAGTAGGATACTATCATGAAGAGAATACAGATTTAGGAGAACACAGATTTGAGTCCCCGGCTCAATCTCAGTGCTTCTCTTCATTGGTCCCAGGACCCTAGCAGGTTATGCAAATTCACCGTGCCTCAATTCCCTCATTTGCCAAGTAAGGGTAATAAAACTAATGATCTCACAGAGTTGTCCAGCATGAAGGATATAAACAAAGTTATTGGTCAAATGCCATTTCATTTTCTTTTATTTAGTTAACAGTATTCTTTATTTGGGGGAAACAAAAACAAGCAAAACAAAAAAACCAAGGTAAACTAAGACTCCTCTCACCATTACTTCCATTCTCAAACAATTCAGAGTGCTTATTTCAGAGCAGACATTCCTCAAAGAAGATACATTGTCATTATCAATCATGTCTAAAAACAAAGTCTTACTAAACAATATACATTTCTTCTATTATACATATTAGATATTACATATAAAGTGGGAGGGAAGGAATACCTCTGGTGTACCATAAATTTGATAGAGCTGTAGAAATAACATAAGCAAAAACCCCTTCTTAACACCACATATTCCTCTTTAAGTATTATCCCAAGTTAGCAGCTAAATTATTTCAAGAAATGGAATGACATTTTGTAAGCCAAACGTAGTAAGAAATTCCAGTAACAAAAGTTAAGCTAAAAATGTAGTACCAATACTGAAAAAGGGCTATAAAAGGTAGCATACTTGGCTTTAATTTTCATTTTCACTTGTAACCTTTAAGAAAAGAAATATTTGGGGGAGAGTGATTTTCTCCCAGTCTTCCCTAACAATTATAACATTTATTTCAAGTACATTTTCATTTAACTGAGCATGTTGTTTTCCTCTCTTAGAGTTCCCTCCAGAATTTTTGAAGTGTTGTCATATCTTTGTTGAGTGTCTCATAAGTAAACATAGCACTAAAGGATGCGCTTTTGTGAGAATACTCAAAAGAATCATGTAAACACTTGTACTTTGCACAGCCCAGGTTGGTATTTTTGAATTGCTGGGGTGTATTCAAGTAAACACAAGAAAAGGTTTATAGAAATGTAAAAAAAATGAATGTATGAAGCCTTACTTTTTATGCTGTAGCAAAATAACTGAAAAGAAAATTATCTGGATTCATAATGGAGGAATTGAAAGTTTGGTTTAATTCAGCTTTCTCAGAGTTTGAAGTTTATGTGGACCTTTGGGGTCTTTGAGAGGTAAGAAAGCTATAAATAATCCAGGACAGCCTCAAATTCTCAGAGTACTTGCACACACATTTAATCTCCCTGAAAATATGCAAGGTTGATTAGGAATCTTGAAGTCTACATAGTACTAATTTTAAGTGAAGTTTAATATTTCTGAAAGCATAAAAAGTTGATATTGATTTTTGTTATAACCACCGTATACTCTCTGGTATTTATAAAAGCCACCAGGACAGTAATGCTTGCAGCACTGAGATCGCAAACACAAGAAACTACATAAATCCTATAGACAGCTCTTTAGGAGAAAAACATTGTAAAAAGTCAGATTGTATTCTGAATTTGTGTAAAAATATAATTCCTTAAAGAAGTAATAACATTTTGATTATGAGATCTGTGTAACAGCAATAACAGTATCAATGGCATGGCTACTTGTTAATTTTACAAACCATGGTTGTTACATGGGCTTTGGAATTAGACAGACCTGGGATAAAACCCTTTCTCCAGCTTTCACTGGAAAATTTATATAAGCTCTCTAAGCCTTGCTTTCTTCATTTTCAATACGAGAATAAGCAACCTCACAGGTGGTTGGGAGAATTAACCGAGGATGTATGGAAAGCCCTAAGCGCAATGTCTAGTAAATATTTTGGAGCTCAACAATTTATCTTCCTACATTTCCTTAAGAGAGTCAAGAATCTTTCTCACTGAACCGTAAGGTTCTGTTTCATGCAGCGGAAACAGAGTCACAGAATTTCAAGTTTCACGTTTCCTGATCTGAGCAAAAATTAAAGGAAAAAAACGGGAAATTGGGGAGACTAGTTTGGAGGCTGGTTTGGAGGCTGCTGCAATAATCTAGGTGTGGGCTGAAAATTTGGAAGTGAAGTAGAGATGGAAAATTTTGAAAAGGAGCAGGAGCTGGTACAAAAGAAAGAAAAAACTGAAAGAAATTGTTAAATGCATGGGAACATGGAGTGGGAGACACAAAAATGCCAAAGCGGAGCCAAGGTTAGCACTCATGTGAAATTGACTCTTACTTCTTCTGCCATCACTTCCATCTCTGCCATGTTTATAACCACCTCTCAGAATGCAAGTGCCCCCTCCATCTTAAGTAAATGAAAGGCGTAAAAGGAAAGAGCAGTGAAAATTCGGGAGCAGCAGGAATGGATCTGGAAATAGACCTCCCCCACCCTCATACCCACATCTGACTCCAGCCCACTAGTATGAGTTTCTAGGAGAATTCATAAAGGCTGTTAGTTCATTTTGTGTCCACATAAATTTGGACAGTAAGGCACTATTTTCATGCAGTACATGTGCTAAATTTATCTTTCTTTTTATGAAATCGTTTAAGTTACCAGATAAATGTGTTGAAGATGAAATCTAGTATTTCTGTTAGAGGAAAAAGGGAAAGGAATTGAGGAATTCTTTCTACAATGTCTATCTTGTTAGAGAGTATGGAGTCTTCCCATAGGATGGAAAAGAAGGTAATCTGGACAGGAATTTACAAAGAAAAGAATTCCAATCAAAACCACTTTCAAAAGTTCAAATGATATATCCAAATGAGAATACATTTTGCAGTACTGTAGATATGGGTAAGAGGGGGTATCCTCATGTAGGTGAAATACAGAACTTCTAAAGAAAAAGCAGCAGTTCACCTTTGCAAAAAGTTTAAAGAGATACACACAGATAGAAAAGTGGGAGGCTTAAACCCTAATGTTATTTTTGACCTGTTATTCTCTTATGCTTCCTCATCATCCATCTGATTAAAAACTTATTGAATCTATGTCAGAAATACTTTTCACATCTCACTTCTTTATGATCCCGCTTCCACTGGTTTAGTTAAAGCTGGGTTTTATTTCCTATTCTTTGGTTAATTTATTAGTAATCCAGTATGTCTACTTACATCCAATTTTCCCCTGCTTGTCTTCATCCTAAACACTCCTTCTCTAATGTTCTGTGATTCTGCCACCTATGTGGAGGTGCTAGAACTTAGGAGTAGATGACAGTGTTATCTTGGAGTTCAAGATACTTAAAATATATAATTCTAAAAATAATTAGATATGATGTTTCAATTTAGAAAAACAGATTTTAAACTATTCTGGTGAAAAAATAGATGTGAAACAATTGCTAGAAATATACCAAGGGAACACAGCTAAAGGATATGTATTGCTCTACCACAAATCTCTAACCATATTAATATGTTCAACAATACTAATAACTTGAAGATGCAAAAGTCATACTTGTAAAATATAGGGATTACACAAAGCTAGGAAAGATATAAAGCATTTTAAATAACAGAGTCAGTCTTTAGCAGGAGGTTGATATACTAAAACACTGAACATATAACAAATATGGAATATTAAAGGGACAATTGTAATTCCAAGGCTAGCATTTAGTTTGAAAAATCAACTGGATAAAAATAAATACTTGAAGGTTTAATAAATGGCTCATGGACAGAGGGTCGGGCAGACACAGGTGTGATATGATGGTGTAAAAATGTAATGTGATCTTTGGCTACATTAATAGAAGTAAAGTGCACATGAAAGAAAAAATATTTTACCATTTTCTGCTTTGATAACACCACATCAGTGGACAATAATGTTCAGATTGGGGGATATAAGAACGACAAATTAGAAATTATATGAATATGACAGCTGGGATGGTGAGGGGCTTTGAAAACCTGTGGAATTGCTTCAAGATACATAACCGGGAGAAAGCATCATGCCTCTTTATTTTCTGTATTTCTGATGCTTTGATATCTGGGCCTTGCTGACTCTGGAGAGATTGCTGTTCTCAGGCTAGTCAATTCCAAGAGATAGCAAACACCACCCTGAGAGCACTCTCAAATGTAAATCAAGCAATTCAGAGCTCCTACCCTCCTCTGCTTCCTTTATCAGACTCTCATATGTTGAGCAACTATCTCTTTGATCTAATCACCCCAGATCCAAGTATTAGATGACTAAAGACAGCTCTTACACCTCAGAGCATACTGAAATTATTCAAAGTCGCCAATCCTGAGCCTGCTTACCCTGTCTTGCCTTACCTTTCCCGCAGAAACCACAGTAAAGGCTCTTGCCCACCTTTCCCCCCTGCTCCCTCTGCCTCCTGAGCGACCCTGGTGCTTCCCCTGTGGCCCTGCATCCTTGTGGCACACTCCCTCTCTTGGTAACTGGGAATAACAAACTGATCTTTTCAATGGCAGTCATCTCCTGATCTACTGGACTCATCATACCTGTATAATAATAAAACCTACATTTTAATACAGTAATGATAGAATCTTAAGAGCTAGAAGAAACGTTTACTTTTATTTTTATTTAGCAAACATTTACTACCTACTAGATGTCAAGCACCATTCTCTATACATAACTTATCTAGATTGGAAGAACTCTACTTCTTAAATCTATATGACTTCCATACTTTTCCTTATAAATATACTGATTCTAGTCTCTTCTAAATCTTAAGACTGACTGATTATCTTCTGGAATGATAACGAAAAATATCTACCAACCAGCATGCCATGCCACTGACCAATCAGAACTGCTGCCAGCTGGACAGCTGGAGATCGGTGCTGGAGACTCTTTCTGGGCCAGGCCCCTTTAGTTCCTGAGTAATGGGGGAGATTTGGGACACCTTGGGGAAGAATCTGATGTGGTAGCAGGATAGGGGTAAAGTATTGTCACATTTCAATATTGTAATAACTGGCATGGCCATACCAGTACTCTTAGTTGAATAGTAGCCCTGATAATATATCCCTTAGTCTTCTCTTTTACCTCTTGCCTTCTTGAATTTCCTTCAGCTATTCATTTTATGAAGTAAATTATAGACTTCATCATATTGGTCATTTTGCTCTGAACAATGGCCAATGTCTTTCTAAACTGTGCTGCTTGAATTACTCTAAAGTGGCCTACCAGCTGAGTGGACTCTTTGCAACCCGACTGGAATTCTCTATTAGGACACCTAGAATTATACTTTGTGTTCAATGTCAATAAAAGGAAAATCTCATATGCCTTTTTATAAAGTGCATCACTGAAATAAAAGTGGTAGTATTCATTCATTCTCTAGCTGGCAAGCAAACTAATTAAAAGATTGTCATATATTCCTTAAGCCAGCAAGTCTTTCAATATATTTTAAATTACATTTTGATACTATAATCTTTATTTCCATATTGGAAAAGTTAACATGCTCACTAATCTAAAAAGTTTTATAATTGACAATAGACATTCCAGCTAATGTAAATTAACAGGTTCTGCTGCACTTGGAAAAGAGAGGCAAAAAGGACACCATTTAAAAGAATGATGATGATACAATTAGAAGTTCAATCTTCAGTAAGATTTTATGTTATCAGGAACATTGTTCTACTACTACTACTTTTAATAGTATTGTCTATAAAAGCATTAAGTATCATCTGATATTGGCAGAGTTCTATGATAGAAATATCTATTAACTATTTTATCATTAAAAATTTAACCACCACCATTTTCCAAAATTTAGATACAGTTCTTCAATTGAGAGTATATACTATTGAAGACTTTTTTGAGGTTTAAATAGAATACTATTTTACCTTTCTAATGATATGTTATTCTATTTTACACACTGTACAGTTGATATTTTAAATTTTGTGGTAGGTCATTATTAATGATACATTTAATCTTTGTCTCAGAATTTGTACCTTTCCAAAAAAAAATCCCCTGTTGAAATTGCAGTTTAACCCCTGAATTATCCTATATTTGGTAACTAAAAATTTTTTCCATTCAACCTCTAAAGCTGCATTTCCTGATGGGTGTAATCATCAAATGCAAGTTTGCTTAAAGGATTTACTTGACCTTTCATAATAAACTGTTAGAGCTTTCAAAGACAAATTAAAATAGACATCAAATTTGTTTGTGAGTCAGATGTGTCCACATTGTGCAAAAGGATAATAGATAAGATGTATTTGTTAAAACTCAATGAAAATAGCAGGTATGTGGCTGTAAATGATGATAGCAAAGGCCGAAACCCAAAAGTTTTAGATCACAGTCTCGGAAATTCTCTTAGCTGGAAGGGTACTTTAAATGTCCTCTAACACAATTACCCATTTGAATATTGCATCCATGACCTCCATTCTTGTTTGAACACCTATTTGCTCCCAAGACAGCCCACTGCTTCTTTGCATGTTTTTTCACTTTCTTCATTGGGAAATACCAACACTCATTTTAAAATCAAGAGCCTCCAAGCTGGTGGAGAAGAGCAGGATATAATCCAATTTAGAAATGCCATATTAGCACAGGTTAAACATTTGCTTTGTTCCATCTAGTGAGTTGAAGTAGAATTTTCTCCAGAGTACTTTTCATTGAATTAAAGTGGATTCTGTAACTACACATGAGAAGTGATATTTGGTCAAGTGGAAATTTCCTCAGATTTAGTTTTTTGTCTCCCCTACCCCTTCGACCCCCTCCAACATTTTAGAGACTCTGCCTATATTAGGGAACTTCAGGGAATCCGAGGGAAAAGTTGCCCTGTGAGTTCCACCTCAAGTTCTCCATTTCCTTTATATTACCAGCATAACCAGATATTCCCTTGGATTACCAGCAGAAAAGAAATCTTGATTCACACCTGTGAATTGGGTTGGGAGGCTAGGGAGGAAGCCTCGGCAGGGGGCACACTTTATGCCACATTAGAAGACCTAACACTGCAATTTATGCAGCATTAAGATTTCTGGTCTTAATTATACTGCTAGTGAGTTTTATAATCATGAATAAGTCACTGCATTTCTCTGATTCTCAGTTGCTTCATCTATAATGGGAAAATAAATAGACCTACAATTCCGGGTTAATTTGAGAATTAAAAGAAATAATAAAAATATGTTAAAATTGGAAACCCTTGATCTTTTCTTATTATATCTTTAAAGTCAGCAACAATGCAGTTTTGTAACCCTAATGCTTAATGGAAAGTAAAAGAGTTAACACATATTTAGAAATTGGGTAAAATTCACATTAAACAAATGCCATCCCAATACAAAGTAAACTTTTAAACTTAAGGATTTTTGTCCCTCTTACCTGTCAGTCCAAACACCTCAGGAGCCTGGGCAAAAATTAAAGATGGCAATTTTGTGATACTAGATATAATGATAAAAACAGCAGCTGCCATCTATTGAGTGTTATATGCTAATTGCTGTTCCCAAATGCCTTATTTATATGTGCTCTTTCATATTGTTATGGCTGGGGAGGGACTGGTTCTGGATTCAGTCTTTTTTCATATCTATCCTCTTGCAACAAAATAAATTCTACTTGTCCTGGATTTGATTAAACACTAAATAATATATTTGGTCTTATTTCTGAAGATCTATTACAACTACTCTCTTCTGCTTCAAAAACAATAATTTGAATTGCCAACATGTAGTTAGGAATGACGCTTCTAAGAAATCTGCTTTGCTTAACACTTAGGTGGTTAAGAATGACCAGATATTGTTTTTGAATTATTCTTTTACACATGATACTTTTTAGTTGGGAATTCTAAAAAATGCATGTAACTCCTGTGCATGCCTGTTCTAGCATATGTATTAAGTATATTCTTTTTTTTTTTTCTTTTTTTGAGAGGGAGTCTGGCTGTGTCGCCCAGGCTGGAGTGCAGTGGTGCAATCTCAGCTCACTGCAAGCTCCACCTCCTGGGTTCATACCATTCTCCTGCCTCAGCTTCCTGAGTAGCTGGGACTACAGGCGCCCGCCACCACACCTGGCTAATTGTTTGTATTTTTTAGTAGAGACAGGGTTTCACCATGTTAGCCAGGATGGTCTCGATCTCCTGACCTCGTGATCCGCCCACCTCGGCCTCCCAAAGTGCTGGGATTACAGGCATGAGCCACTGCACCCAGCCTAAGTATATTCTTAGGATATGTACTTCCAAATATCTGCAAATGTTTTAAACATAAACATAATATTGGCATTCATTGATTCGTTCAAGTAATTTCTAGATACTATTCTAGTTTTCAGCAGATGTAACAGTGAATGACATGTCTTTTATCAAAGCTGCTTTGGTACATTATTTTTGGAAAGCTGTCAAAACAGCAACAACAACAACAACAATTTCACTCCTCACTTCTCAGTATCTTATCTTTTACTGGTGCTTTACTTTAGTGTATTTACGTATTTTCGTCTCTCACAAATCCCTTTCTCTTTTTCTCAACAGATTTAGAAGTAAACCACAAAGTAATTTTTTCCCCACATAATTTATTAGTGATTAACATTGTCAATATCAACAGTCTAGATTTCTGAAAATGACAGAATTAATGTCTGCTGTTTTGAGATATGAGTTTTAGCACTTTCTATTACAAATTCTGGGGCCGTTTTACCAATTTTACATGCTGCTTATTATTTGTTTATTTTTTTAGGAAAAAAGATGACTCTCCTTCTCACAGCAGTTTGCATATACCATCAAAACATTTTCACAGTATCAGCATGGAGGAGCACTATTCTTGCTTTCTTGACAAAATATCAATATGTGGCAAAGGTGCACCTGAAGCTGTTTGTTTATTTGGGGGAGTAGATTGAAGCTAAAAGACAAATATGGGCCCCTGATGCCACCATAAAGTATTTGGTCTTGTATATCCTCAAGAAAAAAAATATAGTGTATACATTCTAACCTTGTCTTGTATATATTTGAGTAAGGTACTGTGAGAACCAACTGAAACTTCTTAGTTCTAACAGTTGGTGTAGAAAACCATTCCATGTAAGTGTACCTCGGTACTCTCTCTGATCACAAGCACATTTTTCTTCATAATGTGCTTATTTAAACTTTTACTATAAATTTCCCTGTCCTGAATATAAACCCTTCAGTATTACATGGTGTACCTTGCTTCAGCCAAACAAATGTTCCATCCATACAGCATATATGTTTGCAATGCTTTTAACTGTTTAGATTGAGTCTTTATTACCTCATACAGTCATTATGGTCTCCTACCTGCTCTTTTCCCTCAGCCTCATTTCATTTCAATTAATCCTGATCCCGAAGATTTATTCTTATTTCAGGACGTATCTAAAATCTTATTTCCAGAAGAATCCATCTTGGGCTACTCCCAGTGATACTTATTTCTTTGAACTGTGGGTTTTGTGGCTGTAAGGTTTGTCATTAGGTCTTGAAAAAGTATTTCATTTTGTTGGGGAATTGTTTAACATGCATATTTCTGCCTTCTCAGTGCAGCAGGAAACTCCTTCTGGACAGGAGCCATGTCTTAGGTGCTCTGACCATAATGTCATAATAAATCTTGTATTTTGTGAGGTCCCTCTCAAATTAGATCCTTCAAAACATTAAGCATAGTGGTGAGCACTCAATACAAACTCAAGAGCCACATACTGAAAGGCGGCAATACCAAAATATTCCAAATGATCATATGGAAAAGCCACTGAAAAGCGCAACTATGCCACAATGTAAGAATCTTTTCATTTCTCCAATCAGTGTACACTACTTCAATGCAACAAAGTGAGTTACTTACTAAGGCAAATTTTTTGTTGAGAATCATCTGCTCCACCAAAGATGACTCATTGTGGAAGAGGTGGGGCTGCATATGGCTCCACATGTGAGGAAACCACCAGAACTCATCCACAGACCCCAACAGACAGTCATCTCCTTCATCTTCCTCTTCAGTTCCTTTAGGGGGGGAAATATTATCCAATTAATTCCAGTTACACTGATCTATGATCAATCAATCTACTTATCTATTTAATCTTTTCTCGTATATGTATTTAGAAGCCATCATTTATTCTGTTTTACGTATAAGGCTTTAAACCCAAATGTATCAAGGAAAATCTGTTAATCAGGAAATAATCAGAGACCATGTAAAACTCTTAAATGTTATTAAACATGAGACATGGATATGAAATCACTGCAAGATGGAAATATATAACCATTCCCAAGGATATTAGAACTCTTAACTTTCAGCATTTTTGTGCAGTTTATAGTCTGGAGAGAATGGGGGATAAGTAGGAAATGTAATTTAGGAAATATGAGCAAGGAATATGTGTCACAGCCTCAGTAGTAGTAGGTCATTGTGACATGGGCTGTGTATACAACAAAATAATTCTTTTATTCGGGTTCCTCCTTAGGTCTGGGAAGAAGTTACTCAGTATTTGGTGAAAACTGACACATAAGAAAGAGAAAAGAAGGAAATGTGGAAATCGTTGTTGAGAAAATTAGGGAAAACTGAAGGATGAAGGTGATGGACAGAAGTTGTGAAGTGGTGAAATCATGGTCACCACTATCAAAACAATCCAAGCTGCTCCTTGGTGGTACACTTGTGTTCCATATGCTTGTCCTTTCTCTCAAGTTGTTGGAAGAAGATTTTGCATCACGAAACTCTTTTTTCCTTAAGGGTCAGCCCTGTTGTTGTTTCTTGGTGGTTTCATACTTGAACTCATTTTATTTCCTCCCATTTTCCTTGGCCTGCAGTTCAGTTGACTGTGGGAAATTTCACTGTTCTTTTACCTTATTTGAAGGGGCTAAGAGTCCTTTTTGTACTTCCCTAGGCATATCTTCTTTACTATAGCATAAAATAAGAGCAGTATAAGGTGCTCACTACTGTCCTGGAATATCATAATACTAGTCATTTCAAAATTATGCAGCCACACTTGAATTTTAGCCACAACATTGAATCCAATAAGCTCCCTGAGTAGTGGGTTCTTCCTATGATGTCCTTTTTGTGTGGAGAAAAATCTCCTCCCATATTTTCAATGGCAGCTCTGATGTGATTTGTTTTATTAGAGCCCTACAGGCTAAAGATGGAGAATGGACTGCTACCCTGGACCAGTCAACTAAACCCAGTTCCTGTTAACATTGTTCATTCAGTTTCCCAAAGAAGGGAGGCAGAGCCTATTGGCAGGAAAAGAATCAGGTCCTGTGATTTGGTGGGCATTGAAAACCTTTACTAGAGATAAAGGCATACTATGAGATTTCATGGTCATTCAAATGTATACAGAAGAAACAAAGATTAAGTGCTGTAGAGTGAGTGGAATAGCATAATCATTCAACAAGGGCAGTCTTCAGTTTCACTTTCGCATGCTTAAGTACTCTACTGATATGAAGGAACTTCCTCTCCACTACGTACAAAGATTACATATTTAAATCTAATGTTTTATTTTCTTTATTTTTTTCTTCTTCATATACACTTATGTTACCATTGTATAGTAGAACAAGTGTAGCCTTTGGAGTCAGAAGGTTTTAGTTTATTTTTAGGTTCCAACATATTTGAGTTGTGTGGCCAAGTCACATGACCTCTTTAATGTCTGTATTCATGTAGGTAAAGAGATGGACAGCAGTACCTATTTTATTTTTGGGGGGAGGTAGTGTATACATAATTCTGGCAATATTGGGTAACTTATAATACCCCTTTCTTTTCCTCCTGTATTTCCTACTTCTGTTCTTCTTGTGTTTCCTTGCATGGCTCCTTGAGTTTTTTTTTCCTCATTATAATACTACATGAAAGGAGAAGGTAGTTTTCACAGGTGCTATGTGGCAGAGGTGACATTATGTTCAAGAACTGACCAAATCATTATATTAACTCATTGGCCTGATTAATGAATGAGTCACCAGCATTCTTGGCGCTTCTGAGTGGTTATCTTATGGCTCAGGGAAGCTTCATAGTGAGAAAGGCAAGAAAAATAGGAAGATGGATTCAGGGGTTTAGAAACTCTGATGATCCCAACCATAGCAGGTTCTTGGGTCCTTCTAAATTCGAGGTGATAAATAAGGTGACCTTTGTAAAGAAGCATTTTGTAGGTGTGACTGGTGATCTTAAACACATGTTTTGCTTGACATAAGAATGATGTCATTTAGTTTCCCTGCATTTAAACATCTCTGCTTCTAACCAAGATACTCCCCTGTTGCTTAACATTTTGTAGTCTCCAGGACACTGTATTAGTGTCAGTTATTTGTTGCCATTTTATTTTCTCACATTGAGAGCAGGCAGAGTCTCTTGGAGTTTCCCAGAAATCAATTCATTCCTGATTTCCACATACCCTGCAATGTCAGTGAGCTGATATTCCCTAGTTTATGAGAAGTCTCCTCTCCCACTGCTTTTAAGCTCTATTCCCTGTTGCCTATAATTCTTATCTTTCCTTGAAGCTTTCCTGTCATCTTCCCTTTATTCATGTTTTTTTAGTTGGCCTCTGCTCAAATATTATTTATCAGAACAGAGCAGCAGATCTCAGGGTTCTTTGAAAAGATAGCTCAGGCATTTGTTGTCCTTTCCTGAATATCATGGTGAAATCTGTGACTAAAATATTCATATATTTGAATCATGCAAGAGTTAGACAAATGATATCTGCCTTCTGACATATTTATCTCAGTTCATATTAGGCACAATTTTATGTCTTCTCTTTATAGATTTGTCTTATCTGATTTCTTTTAATCCTACTTTGAGAATGTTTTACATTAGAATTACATTGAAAACAAATGTCTGTTGCTTATTACTTTAAAAATTATGGGCCGGGCATGGTGGCTCATGCCTGTAATCCCAGCACTTTGGGAGGCTGAGGCGGGCAGATCAAGAGGTCAGGAGATCAAGACCATCCTGGCTAAAAAGATAGCTCAGGCATTTGTTGTCCTTTCCTGAATATCATAGTGAAATCTGTGACTAAAATATTCATATATTTGAATCATGCAAGAGTTAGACAAATGATATCTGCCTTCTGACATATTTATCTCAGTTCAGATGGGATGGTGAAATCCCATCTCTACTAAAAATACAAAAAAAATTTTGCCAGGCATGGTGGCGGGCACCTGTAGTCCCAGCTACTCAGGAGGCTGAGGCAGGAGAATGGCGTTAACCCGGGAGGCAGAGCTTGCAGTGAGCTAAGATGGCGTCGCTACACTCCAGCCTGGGTGACAGAGCGAGACTCCATCTCAAAAAAAAAAAAAAAAAAATCATGATTAAAAATTAGTTGAAGTGTAATTAACTATGGGTTAATTACATTTGGTTGGACTGTCGTGGCCTCTTGCCCACTCTTTGCTTCCCTACTTTGCCCACCTTTGTCAGAACTGGAGGAAGAGAGAAGAACAAGAAGTCAAATTCCTCAATTTTAAGTGCCATTTCCTTTTTCTGGGAAGATGCAGATTGTATGTATTTTATTTTATTTTCAACTTTTATTTTAGATTCGGGGGGACATGCAGGTTTGTTACCTGGGCATATTGCATGATGCTGAGGTTTGGGATATGAAAGATCCTATCACTCAGATAGTGAGCATAGTACACAACAGGTAGTTTTTCAACCTTTACTCTTCTCCTGCCCTCTCTGCCATTAGTCCCCAGTGTCTACTGTTGCCATCTCTATGACTATGAGTACTCGATGTTTAGTTCTCACTTATAAATGAGAACGTGTGGTATTTGGTTTTCTGCTCTTGCATTGATTTACTTAGGATAATGGCCTCCAGCTGCATCCATGTTGCTGCAAAGGACATGATTTCATTCCTTTTTTAATGGCTGTGTAGTATTCCATGGAGTATATGTATCAGATTTTTTTCATCCAATCCACCATTGATGGACACCTAGGTTCATTCCATGTCTTTGCTAGTGTGAATAGTGCTGTAGTGAACATGTGAGTACATGTGTCTTTTTGGTATAATGATTTTCTTTCTTTGGATATATGATAATATCCAATAATGGCATTGCTGGGTTGAATATTAGTTCTGTTTTAAGTTCTTTGAGAAATTTCCAAACTCTTTTCTACAGTGTTAAGTGCCATTTCTTAACTTATCACAAAACTATGCTGAAATCTTATGAAGTTATTGCAAACTATAATTTATTTTTTAATATATTTATTTAAATAACTTCTCTACACTATTTTATCTGTAGTATTTGCTATTCTGATATTATATTTAAAATCATCATTGATTGAGAGTTTATGTTGTGTTGTTATGTCAAGCACTGTGTTGAGTACTTTACAAACATCATTTCACTTAATTCTCAAAACAACCTCATGAGGTGAGTGCTGCTGCTAACTTCATTTTACAGATAAGGGAATTGACATTTGGAGAGGTGAAGTAACTTGTTCCATCTCACTGAGAGGTTTGAGACAGAGCCTGAATTGAAATTCTGAGTTCTAACTCAGATTGAGCAACTCCAAATTCAGGGCCCTTAACTATCATTCACTGGCCAAACGTTGAGTCTAGAAATAAGATCAGCATTTATTCATTCAATATAACATTGCTCTTCTCATTGTTAATTTATTCTATAATATAATTAGAATGTACAGGTACTACTGGATCTCAGTGATTTGGGGAAACATAAAAAGCTAACAAATCTATAAATAAGGAGAATCTTTTGCCATTCAGCTTCCCTAGTCAAGGATGAGTTAAGACTATTTTTTGACACTTCACAAGCTATGTGACCTTGGGCCCCTTTAAGTTTCTATGTTCTTATCTAGAAAACAAGTTAACACGTTCTTTAACTTCTA
This sequence comes from Homo sapiens, assembly GCF_000001405.40. NCBI lineage: Eukaryota > Metazoa > Chordata > Mammalia > Primates > Hominidae > Homo > Homo sapiens. Next base: position 118,110,007 of record NC_000004.12, on the reverse strand, counting down.
GGATTCAGTGAAAAAGTACATGAAAAGTGTTTAACAAAGCACTAAAAGGGAACTATGATTTTTATGTTTTACCCCTTTATTTCTCACATAAATGCACATACCCTTCAAAAATTAAAATAAATCAAACAAGATAAAGCTCTCTTCTGACATAAAGTATTACTGTTATGACAATGCCACTTTTCTTTTTCCCTTCAAGACTGAGTAAAATGGATAGAATTTTTTTATAGAAAAAGGAATAGCAATTTCTTCATTTAGAAAGGAAGACAATATAATTCAATTACTTTTTATCCCATCTAATTTTTGAAAGATCAAATATTAAATTTTGTATCTTTTCCCTCTAAAAAATGATTTAACTGGTCTTAGACAACCCTGGCTAAGTTTTGTGGAAACTCTCATATTATACACAGCTAACAAGACCCTTTCAAACCTTGGCCTCTGTTTCCATCTGTGTTGTACTTTCTCTCACTTAGGGAGAGGATACTCTTATTATGAGCTGTGGGAAGTGCCCAAGTAAAGAAAGAGGACAAACCTTGCAGAGATGAGAAGGAATGACATGAATTGGCTAGCATCATTCCCCAGTATTCAACGATGGGCAAAAAAATAATGGAGTTGCCAGGAGTGTTTTCTTGTATTTCTTGAGCATATCTGGGCTGTCCTGGTTTTGCTGTGATGTCTCTTCCTACTCTCTCCCTCTCCCCCTAAACACACCACATATTTCACCCTAATTTTGCCATGGTGGTTTTTCATCCATATGATAATTTTCCTTTATTCAATGGATGTCAAAGAATCTAAGATAATCATCCTGAAGTTAGGATATCCTAACTCAGAAGTTTAGGAAGAGGTTGTGGGCAGTCTTCTGTTTCCTTAAGCTCTTGGAGCTCTCCATTGTGAAAGTTAGTTATGCTATGAGTCTAACTTCACTAGAAAGATGAACTAAACCTCTGCACATAAAGAGAAAGTTCTCACTTCACATATCTATTGCCAAGGTAGAAGAACTTTCCTGTAAGCAAAAGATTTAAAATAGATATCTAATTATGTTTTTATTTTTGAGGTTACAATAAGAACCAACTCAATGAATCATAAAACAAAGTCAAACATAATCATGAGGTTCCCAGTTGTTAATATTTAAAATAATCACAGAAAATGTGTATTTTATATATTGATCTAAGAAATTCAGAGGAATAAAAGCTTCCACGCTTCTTATGTTAAAGTTATTCTTAAATCCTACACAATTTTCAAATTGGTAGGTGAAAGTTATATGTAGTTGTATGATTATACATATTGTATTCATTACACAATTTTACAATAGGAAAATACTATAGTCAAGTCTCATGGCTCTCTAACTTCCATGGAAACAAATGGAAATTGACTTACTCTAGAAATACAGTATGCTTCTATCTAAAAATAAAATTACTATTTATGTTGTTTATGTGCATATGGAGATTATATTGATGTTAGTAGTATATAGATAGAATTCTCAGCATGATATGTTTATTAAACCCTTGAAGGTACTCATCAAATACATACAAAGTAACTCTTGCTCATATTATCAAATGAAAAATTTGAAAAGCATTTGCAATTGTAGAAAACTGATAAACTTGCTTAAATATGATATCACTTTAAAAAATTACTTATGTGTTTATTCATTTAGATCTAACACACATATATGTTATAAAATGCAAAGGCTCAGAAAAAATTTAGTAAAAAGTAACTCTTCTTTTCATCTCTCTTGTTTGATTCTCAAATTCTCTTCTTCACTGAGATGGTTTGGCTCTGTGTCCCCACCCAAATCTCACCCTGAGTTGTAATAATCCCCATGTGTCAAGGCTGGGGCTGGTTGGAGATAATTGAATCATGGGGGAGGTTCCCCCATACTGTTCTCATGATAGTGAATGAGAAGTCTCACGAGATTTTATGGTTTTATAAATGGAAGTTACCCTGCATTAAGTTACGAAGCCCTCTTGCCTGCTGCCATGTAAGACACCCCTTTGCTCTTCCTTCATCTTCCGCCATGATTGTGAGGCCTCCCCAGCCATGTGGAACTGTGAGTCCTTTAAACCTCTTTTCTTTATAAATTACCCAGTCTCAGGTATATGTTTATTAGCAGCATGAAAACTAATACATTCATAGTTACCCATTACTATCAGTTTATTATGAATTCTCCCACAGATATCCTATACTTGTATTAATAGCCCTTTATATAAAAAATACTTAATTTTAGCGTCATTCAGTTTATCATTTTTTTCTTTAATGGTCAGCCTTTTCTATCTTATTTAAGACATCTTGCATGGCACAAGTTACTTAACTACTTGGTAACTGAGTTTTCTAAGCTACAAGAGTTCTATACATAGAGTTGTACAGATTTCACCTCCTCTTTTATTTTTATACAAATGGGAACATATTCTAATCACTGTACTATACCTTGACTTTTGTATAGCTTTTATCTTCTTTATTTTTATACAAATGGGAGCATGTTCTAATCACTGTACTGTACACTGATTTTTCAGTGTATCTTGAGAGCTTTTTCTATATGGTTTATATTTAAAATTATCTCTTTTTAATGACTGCAGAGTATTCCATTATATGAGTATACCAATACATGTAATCAGTTTTTTTAACTTCTAAAAATACAGAGTAATGCTTTCAATCATGAAATTGTGTTCATCTATCCTGAGGCAAGTCAAAATATCTTTACTCATTTTAATTATGATTGTGAAAAAACTTTTTAATTATTCTCAATATTTAGAGTGATTTCTTTTCACATTTAATAGGGAAATTCAGAATGAGAGTCCACAGTTACATGGCCATATAATTTATGATAATAATGACACTATGAAGCAGTGGGAAAGGATGGTCTTTTCAATACTGGGTGCTAATTAGATGATGATGATGATGATTATTATTATTATTATTATTTTGAGATGGAGTCTCGCTCTGTAGCCCAGGCTGGAGTGCAGTGGCGCAATCTCGGCTCACTGCAAGCTCCGCCTGCTGGGTTCACGCCATTCTCCTGCCTCAGCCTCCCTAGTAGCTGGGACTACAGGGGCCTGCCACGATGCCTGGCTAATGTTTTGTATTTTTAGTAGAGACAGGTTTTCACTGTGTTAGCCAGGATGATCTCGATCTCCTGACCTCGCGATCCACCCGCCTCGGCCTCCCAAAGTGCTGGGATTACAGGCATGAGCCACCACACCCAGCCAATTAGATTTTTTTTTAAGAGACAGATTCTTGCTCTGTTGCTTAGACTGGAGCGCAGTGGCATGAACATAGTTTACTGCAGCCTAGACCTCCTGAGCTCAAGTTATCCTCCCATCTAAGTCTCCTGAGTAGCTGGGACTACAGGCACATGTCACCATGTCTGGCTAACCAATTAGATATTTTTATGAAAAAAAGACCCCTATCTGATATATGCACAAAAATCAATTCCAGATGTATCACAGATTTATACATTGCCAGCCTAGGCAACATAGTGAGACCCCTTCTCTACAAGAAAAATTTGCCAGTCATGGTGGCATGGGCCTGTAGTCCCAGCTACTCAAAAGGCTGAGGTGGGAGGATTTCTTAAGCCTAGGAGGTTGAGGCTGCAGTGAGTTGTGTTTGCACCACTGCACTCTATCCTGGGCAACAGAGCAAGATCCTGTCTCAAAAAGAAAAAAAATTCATGTTCTTGTAGTATGCAAAGATTTCTTAAATAAGATAGAAAAGAATGACCATTAAAGAAAAAAATGATAAATTGAACGGCCTAAAATTAAGTATTTTTGTTCATTAAAAACGCCATAAGGAAAATTAAGAGACAGCCAGACAGCAGGAGAAAGTACTTGGAACACATGGAACTGTAAACTTCAAGGAAAGAATTTCTACAAATCATTAAGTAAAAGCAGAAAACCCAGATACTCCTCAAGAGAGGATATCCAAATAGCCAGCCAACATACGAACAAAGATCATTTACTGCTCTTCAGAGAAATGTACATTAAAACCCTAATATGATATCTCTACATGTTCACCAGAAAAGCTAAAATTAAAAAGACAAACAATATCAAATACTGGCAAGCATACAGAGCAACAGGAACACTCATACTGTTGGGAATATAAACAGGTACAACCATTTTGAAAAACTGACATTTTCTACTAAAATTAATTATAAGTGTGCCACATAACTAGCAATTCCATTCCTAGTTGATGATTAACAGAAAAGAATACTCAAGTCCTCTGAAGGACAGGTATAAAAATGTTCGTAACAGGAAGTTATGAACATTTCTATTCAGAAAAACTCAAAGTCTGGAAACACCCAACCATCTACAGCTTAATGGAATAGACAAGTAAATTTTGTATGTTCAGACAATGGAATACTGTACAGCAAGGAAAAGGAAAGAATTATAACCTATAGACAGTAATATTTCTGAAACAAAAATAACATTGTACAAAATGAGCTGGATACAGATGAATCTTTACTGTATGATTCCTTTTACATACCACTCAAAGCCAAGCAAAACTAATTCATGATATTAGAAGTCAGAATACTACTCTTCTTTGAGAGAAGTTAGTTATTGTGAGGGGCACAAGAAGTGGAGATTTTGGAAGTGTTCTCTTTCTTGATCTGCCTGTTCTTTACACAGCTGTGTACACGTTGAAAATTCACTGAATATCACATTTACTATTTATGTACTTCTATATATGTAAATTATAATTCAATAAAAATGAAAGGCCATCAGATAGTTCCATAAACTTTCAAACCATTAATATTTTACAAAAATTAAAAAATAGCATGTTAAATAGAATTGAATGATAAAATGCTGGGGAGGAACATAGGGAATGTAGGACAGTGTGGGCAGGAAAAGTGTGCAATTTTAAATAGAGTGATCAGAGAAGCCTTAATGAGAACAGTTAATCCCTTTTTCTTACCTGTATGGTAAAATTTCCCTGAAAATCCCAGGTTGAATGTAAAATTTGTGATTTGTGCACGCAAAAGATTCTGAGTATCAAGCAGGGCCTGAAATACATAATTTAAAAAATGTATCAGGTAAAGAATGGCATTAAAAAGTTTCCAAAAGATATATCCTTTTTGCATTCAGAGGATAAAACCAGTTCCTTATACATGTGAGAATTAAATGGTGGAAAATAGTTTCTTTATCACTTTAAAACTAGAGAGATACTTTTGAGTTTACATGAAACACATACATTTATTTATCCTTTAGCTTGCAATAAATCAGCAAAAAGTGTCAGTTGGAAAAAGGAAGTTAAATGAAAAGAGTTTATTCTGTAGGTATCAAAAGAACTACGATCTAGTACATAAAATATATCCAATTTACCCTTCAGGCATATAGATCACCAATTGCCAAAAGAAGGGCACTCATTTTTAGTGAAGCTATGCAAGAACGTATGTTGAAAGAAACAGATTATTTCTCAGACAAGTCTTTGGTTTTCAAAATCAAAATCTGAGATTCCCAAAAGATAATGATTGTTGTTCAAAATGAGATATCATAGTAAAGTAGATCTCTAATTTGCCCTTTCATTAAAAAACAGACTAATAAAATATCCTACTTCTGATAAGTAAAGCTATTTTGAATCAGAGTTTTAATTGTTATATCCTATAAAATATTTACCATGCTGAGTATTTAATGTACTTTTCTTTCTTCTTTTTTCTTTCTCAATCTTTAAGTCTGATTCTTATACTCCCTCTCTCTGTCTCCTTCTCTGTCTCTGTCTCTCTCTCACATACACATACACACACACGGTAGTTGAGTGTTCACTTCAACTAGGCAGAAAGTAATGCTGTTAGATTTGTAAATGATCTTTCATAGATGAAATTAGTGGTATCCTAGCTTACGGATATAGATCCAAATTAGGCATTCCTTCTACTCTATCACACCTTATCTTCTTTCTCCCTTTCCTTAATACAGTTGGGCCCACAACTAAATCTTATTTTCTTAATTATAAAGCTGACATCTGGAAGGTCTGCCTCATCATGTTTATGGTCCCAACTTTTTTGGATCATAAGCAGATAGAGTTTTTTATTCATTGACTACCCCATGATTGTATGCTTTATCTGAATGCAAGAGATTCTTCCTGATTTTAAAAGCAGAGGTAGAGAACTTCTGGGTTCAAATTTAGACTCATCTAGCCAATGGTAAGTTTTTGAAATTTAGCTATCTAATTCTTTTGGTATCACTACTCTCTTAACATAAGCAAGCTTTTTGGTGTGCACAGCTGAACCATGTAATATGTGCGTCCTGATGACACTCAGAAATAGAAGACAGGCCTGTTGGTGGATCTCTACACCTAACTATGGGAGCAAAAGAATGAACTGACAGCAATGTCATCAGGGACAGGTTAGGTCCTTACAAGGTGGGGCACGGTTTGGATGGGGGAGGAGGAATCCAGCCAGCTGGACATGATGAAGTTACAAATGGGACTTCTAGGTCAGATGCTGGACCCTGGTGTGGGGAAGGATATACCTAGGTGTAAGATATATAGTATACATATACAAGTGTCTGTATATTTGTACTGCTGACAATTATAATACACACACATTTTGTGTATAAATATATATATATAATGCTGACAATTATAATATCTTCCCTTTCTTTCTTCTCCCCTTCTTCCTCTCTCAATTCTGTTGTTCCCCAGTTGAACATTCTAGCCCACCCTTCCTATCTTTCCTTCCACTTAGATCATATCTTTCTTCTTTTTCCATTTTACTCACTTCATTTCAGTCTCTTATTTTTCTTCTTTCAGTGGTTAAAATATAGATTCGAAATCTATTTGAACATATTTTTTTTGTGTTCAGTGCTTTAAGTCTTACAATTTGGTAAAATGAACCTTCTTTTTGCCTTTCTTTTTGTTCAAACTTAATTGGAATTCGAACTTTGCTTTGTGATCCTTGATTGCATTTTTAATGTACATTTACAAAACTTGATAAGAAAAACTATATATAAGAAACCTGTCTTCTTCTTAGGCCTTAGAAGCTAAATAAAGTTCCTGCGAACTAACCTCTTAGTCAACTAGAATACAATGATTTAAGTTACTAAATTAGCCCTGAATTTGCAGATTTGAATTTCCATTTTACCTATTTATTTGATATTCTAGAAATAAACACTAAACACATAAAAGATACATTGAAACAGATGGCAGATACTAATTATGCCTATATATGGTAAAGAGGGGAAAATTATTTCTAGATGATATTTTATATACTTAAGATAAACAGTGATATTTGTCATCTTTTATGTTGTTTTTGTAAACCAGATTTTGCAGATGTTTATGAGAACATTATTATACATTCATCCATTATTCCCACCTTTTAAAAATATATTTGTTACTGGCCTAACCCTTGTAAAAAGCTTAAGTACCCAGCAATATTCTTAGGTCATATCCTTTTCACTAAACCCTTCATTACTAGAATGATTTTATTCAGCATTATTCTATTTTAAACTGAAGTAGTCTACTCATTACTATGAACAAAATATAAAAATGATATAAAATTATACTTTATTCTGTATATGCAACATGTCTAAAATGGTGTGATCATATCTAAAATTCTAATTATAATAAATTAAGTCAGTGCTCCACGACCACAGACAGAAAACCACATGTATTCTGGGCAAGCAAAACCCATCTGATAGAGTACTGTGGTCATGGAGGAGGTAAGGAATCACGATTGTCTGAAGAGGCACAATTTAGTGGTCTCCTCAAATGCCAATCCAGGAACCCTAAGAACATAGATGTCTACCTTCAAAAGTGGCTTGATTATTGAAAAATGGGACTTTTGTTTTTAGTTTTTCCAAAATACTGTACTATATATAGGAAGGTAATTTACAATTCCATGTATCAATTATTATTTTTAAAATAACATTTTTTCTAATTAAAAATAATTAAAATCACTAATAAAGTATTATGATGTGTTTTCTTTCCATTTTTTCTCAATAAATAAACATATATAATAATATTTGCAGGCATATAGTTATATAGGTAAATTAGTGCCATAAAATAAAAATTAAAGCTATACCAATCAGGATTAAAAATACAGAGTTTTGAATTTTCATTTGACAGTATATCATGGGCTTTCTCCTATCACATTAATCTTCCAAAACCAAATTTTGTAATGAATGCAGAATATTGCATCAAATGAGTATACTATAATTTATTTACCCATTTTATCCTATTGTTGTACATTTAAGTTGTTTACTTTTTTGACTAATATAAATACTGCTCTGTGTATCAACACATACTTATGTAGTTATGAATCTCATAATGATGTTTCAGTCAACAATGTAGCATGTATATTTTGGTGGTCCTAGGTGTGTAGTAGGGTATACCATCTAGGTTTGTGTAAGTATACTCTGTGATGTTTACACAACAACAAAATTGGCTAACAACACATTTTTTAGAACACACCTCCATCATTAAGCCACTCATGGCTACAGCAATGAAGCAACCATTTCTGCAGCAGAAAATAATTGTTTATGCTTTAGCAAACAAAACAGTTGAAAATGCTAATCAGAGTGTTAGAAGGGAACATAGTGTGCAACTTAATTATATGATAATTGCATTTCAAATACAATTTAACACAAAAATTTCAAAATTATCTTTCCAAATTTTAATCTGTATGCTACCCCACTAACTTAGTTTTTTTTTTTTTTCAAGTCTTCATTCTGTAAAGCTAAGAAAGTTTGCAGGCATTAAAATATCTAGTTGAAGACAAAAAAGAACTAATTTAAAGAATCTGAGTTCTGAGAACTGAGCAAAATGATAGCCTTTGAATTTTCTCTAACTTTTGTTAGCAGAATAAATCAAATAGATGAAGAGGCAGAAATTGAAATTAAAAGTAATTGCAAAGAAGTTTTACATGAAGATTTATGTTAGTGTTGATGACACGTGTGGCATTCTTGGTGGAATGTCTTGATAATTTTTTTGTTTCTTATTTATGCTTCTTAGATTATATTTTGGCCTATTTTAGCAGATAAAAATATTTTTGTTTGAGCACAGTACTTTTAGAGTTAATATTTTATAGTCAATCATATACTATTTAGAAATATAAATGTCTATATTTGCTAGAGTAAATGAAATCAATTAAGCAGCAAATGATAAGCTCCTATGCCTATGTGTCTATCTACACACACGCGTGTACACGCACTCATACCTCCTCCAGGCATCAGATATACTTAGTATACTAGAGATTATTATTCCCATTTCAGAAGTGGTAGACATGATTTACATAGTTTAAGTGGCTTTCCCTTGGTCACAAAGCTATTTAAGAGCTAAAGAGGTGACTTAACAAGGATTTTGGATTTCAAAGCTCACTGCTTCTGTTGTCCATGGAAACAACAAGAATACAACATGAACCCTCTTATCACTGGCATACAGAACTGTGGTGACATAATCTTCCAGAAACGAAGACAAGGATGCTCTTTTTTCCACTTTCAATATTTAACTGTCACTTTTAGTTTTCAAAGCCTAAAGGTATGAGGGGAATGGGAAGACTAGATTGGTCAGTGAATAGTCAGCTATATTATTTAGGATTTTCCAGAGACAGGACGATAGGAAATAGATATGGATATAGATATAGGAGGCCATTTATTACAGGATTTGGCTCATGTGGTTGTGGAGGCAAGCTGGAGAACTAAGAAAGCTGGTGATATAATTCAGTTTGCATCTGAAGGCCTGAGAAATTGGTGGTGGTGGTGGGTGATGGTATAAGTGGCAGTTTGAAAGCCTGAAGCCAGGAGCGCCTATGTCTGAGGCAGATAAAGATGGATGCCTCAGCTCAAGCAGAGAGAGTGAATTTGCCCTTCCTCCACCTCTTAGTTCTATTCAATCCCTCAGTAAATTGGATGATGCCCCCTACATTGGGGAGGGCCATCTGCTTTACTTAGCTCACCAATTCAAAAGCTTATCTCTTCCAGAAACACTCCCACGGACACACCTCAAATCATGTTGTAGCAGCTATATGGGCATCCCTTAGCTTAGTTACGTTCACACATAAGATGAGCCACCACACCAGCCAAACTAGTAATGTTTACCCACTGGCATCCAGATTAAAGAACACTTACTCACTGTACAATCTGCAGAGTTGGACTGCAGGACACTGGAGCACCATGAAGTGCTCCAATGACCACCTTAGTCTCTCTCTGACCAGGTTTAGAACTGGAAAGACTATACAAGACTTGTGCTTAGACAAGAAAAACATTGAAATATGCTGAAAACAGTTAATTAGGTTAATATTAGAGTAGGGCCTCAGGAACAATTAGAGGAAAGATACCCTTAGAGGAAAATAAATAATAAGGCCAGGATCAACTTTACTATTTGACCTACCTACACAATTGACATTCAGCAGGGAAATAAGAAAGAATGCAGGAAAGATAGGTAAGCTAGTGGGAAGCATAATACCCAGTCAGTTTTTGCAACAGTATTTAAACTCCCTTGACAAGAAATCTATAGACATAGCACTGCATTATCTAACTTAATTAACACTCCTAATGGCAAAACAATCACTCAGCTCTCAGTTGCCCATATTCTAAATGTGAAGTCTACATATAAAAATGTAGAAACTGTATTTGTCCTGCCAGATTAAAATAGTCTTAAAGACCAAAGGCTGGACTGTGTTTTCTATGAGCTTTCACCTAGGAATTTGCTAAGTACAGTGAGGAGTCTTAGAGATTATCTTCGCTCTTGTTAAATTGCCTTAGGCCAAGGCCACCATCTGCTGAATGCCCAGTTCTTGTGCTTGGCCTCACCAACATACATGACCATGGCAGAACAGCAGCAGATTGAAATCCGAGTGACTTAGGACTCTGGCTCTGCTACTTGATTACTATGCAGTAATAATACGAGGCTTGGACAAGTTACTGAACCTTTCCAAATCACAGTTCCCCCTTGGAAAACAAGAATAACAATATGTAACTCCCAGGTTTTGTATGAAGATCAAATGAGAAATGGATATATGGTCTTAAATCCTTTCCTAATACACAGAAGTTGAGTTTTAGCTTTGTGAATGAAATCCTTTGTAATTCTGCCAACTTTAAAAGGTCCTTATTGTCCTGTCAGAAAATTCCATGTTCCATTACTTTCTGTTACTCACATGAAAACATCAGGCATATGCCTAAAATTTTAAACTATATTTTTAAATTGAGCCGTAACACTTTTGGAGTTAATCAGCACTAAACAGGAAGATAATCCAAGTAGCTGTATTATAGTAACTTCACAGGGCTTTATATCCTTCATATAAACCCTTCTTGGTATTTTTTCTAAATGACATTAGTGAATTTTCATTCTTCACCTGAATGCTTATGTATTTTATTGTTTCTATTGTAATAACAGAGTAAGGACAAAGGTTTGTGTGAAAGCAGAGAAAAGAGTTATAGAGCAATCTTGAGTTACTTCTGTTACATACTTTAACTGGTCTTGAGCATACATTATATATAACCTCTAAATTACAGCGGTGAAGAATGATTTTCCCAGAGGAGTTCTTGAGCTGAAATTGGCAAATAATGACAGGTTAGTGGGGAAAAGAGAAAACTATTAAGTAAGTGCTACCATCACGAAGTATTCACTTGAAATTGTTATGCATATGCTATTTAGCTTATGGTTGACATGCTTAGTCAAAATACTAATGTACTTTTTAAAAGAAAATAAGTGTTAAAAATAGTTCATTATTTTTTGCTATATAGTATCTCTAGGAAACTATTAGTTAAATCTCATTCATTCAATTGTGCAGAAAAGGGATGTTTATATATTACTATAAACATAATTTTAATACCTTAATTTAAAATACTTGCTTTTAACAGGAAAGCAGAAAAGGAAGCAGAGCTGTAAGATTTCACATGAGGGGACTGAGGTGTCTCAATCCACTTACTGTTATTGCAGAACAAATAGATTTCCTTTTAGTTGCAGAGGTATGAAACTCCTTAAGTAGCGCATCTGTTCTGCTCAAGACATGAAAATGCTAAATACTTAAAAAAAACCACAGTAATTAAATGTTCAGCAACCCACCCCCTTCCAAAAAAAGGTTTGTGTTATGTGTTAAAAACAAAATGTGAGATTAAAGCTGGACTATAAACTCCATGAGCAATGTCTATCCTATTCACTGCTGCATTCCCAAAACCCAGCGTGATGTCAAGAACAGAAGGGAAAGTAAGTATTTATTGAATGGGAACATGAATGAATTTTGATTGATCTAGTAAGGCAATAAACTCATAAAGATTTGAAAATGGCCATTGTAGAACACTTATTTACTACTTTATTTTCATAAACTGTTTTGAATCTTGGTGAAGAATTTCAACATAATTCAAATTGGAAAAAGTAATTAGAAAACATTTGATTTCAAATTATTTTGAAAATTGCTAAAATAAAAGCATTTCCTATCAGTGCTTCTCAAACTTCTATGTACATAAAGATTATCTGGGAAACTTAACAAAATGTAGACTTCCGGGTCCTAACCCAGAGATTCAGAACAATCATTCTGAGCAAAGGCAACATACCCTGGGTGATTTTGATATAGGGGACATTATACCACACTGTTAAGAATCACTGTTCTATTCCTTGATTTCAAATAGTTCAAGGTAGTTTCTAATTTATTTATTTATGAGTTGTTTTTCCTTTTGAGTATGAAATCTTTAGTGTTCACTTCTTGGTACAGTTACTGGTACACAGTAAGGAAATAATTCAGCTAATCAATGATTTCATAAGCCTCATAATTAACAGATACTGTGGATTCTCCAATAAGAAATACTCTAGACAACATGGGTTATATAAGGGCCATCTGAATTCAGTTGAGGTCCTAAAAATTGTGCTGGCTCAAAAGTACTCTGTGAGGGTTAACATTACATGAGAACTTGAATGAGCTATGGGGTGCCCAGATAATTGGTCAAACATTATTATGGGTGTGTCTGTGAGGATGTTTTGGATGAGACTAACATTCAATTAGTAGACTGAGTAAAGCAGATTGCCTTCTCTAAAGATGGTGGCCCTCATCCAATCACATGAAGTCTTAAGTAGAACAAAAAGACTGACTATTTTGCAAGTAAGAGGGAGCTCCTTCTGCCTGACTGCCTTGAGCTGGAACATTGATCTTTTCCTATCTTTAGATTTAAACTGAAACATTGACTCTTGAGTATCGAACCTGTCAGATTTTAGACTGGAATGCACACTACCAGTTCTCCTGGTTCTCAGATTTTCAAACCTGGACAGGAACTACACACTTAGCTCTGCTGGATCTCCAGCTTGCTGCCTGCATATCTTGAGACTTCTCAGCCTCCATAACCTCATAAGCCAATTCCTTATAATACATCTGCCTAACTGTCTATCTATCTATCTATCTATCTATCTATCTATCTATCTATCTATCTATCTACTCTAGCCATAATGGAGTATGTATTGGGGTTCTCTAGTGAAACAGAATCAATAGAAGATTATCTGTCTATCCGTCTATCTTTTATATATATCATGACTAGGGTAGTTTGGGTTAGAAATTATGCAACAGAATTTTAGCTTCTAAAGTTTAGCTTTATATTTTTATTAATTTTATTTTTCTTAGTTTTTCTAATTAAAGTCCATTTCAGCTGGTTTGGGAGAACCAACTAATCAGGTTATCAGTTTTGGCAAAGTATGATAACTCAGTATAAACAGCTCCAATCTAGGGAAGATAAGGTATGAGGAAGCAAGAGCTTGCAGAGAACAGACAAGCCCTGATTTAATGATGGTTCAAGTAAAGATTTTTCAGCTTTATGATGGTGTAAAAGTGACATGCATTCAATACATGAGAATATAATCCCAGTGTATTTCAAGGAGCATCTGTATATAGAGGTAGTTTAAGAATCAGAGTGCTGTGGGACTGTAATGTGGTTCAGCCCCTTTGGAAAACATTTTGGTGACTACTCAAAAAGTTAAACATAGAATTACCATATGATCTAGCAATTCTTCTTCTAGGTATGTACCACAAGAACAAAACACAGTGTTCAGACAAATACTTCTACATACATGTTCATGGTTGTACTATTCACGATAGCTAAAAAGTAGAAACAATTGAAATGTCCATCTGTGGATGAATGGAGAAACAAATTTGCCTATGTACATACAATGAAATATTATTCAACTATGAAAACAAATTATGTACTGATACATGTTATAACATAGATGAACTTCAAAAACATTATGCTAAGTGAAAGAAGCCAGACATATATGGCCACATATTGTATGCTTCTATTTACAAGAAATATCTAGAGTATGTACAGCCATAGATAGAGAGAGTAGATTGGTGGTTGCCAGTGTAGGGAAAATTGGGTGCAACTGATTAATGAGGATGGGTTCCTTTTGGGGTGATGAAAATGTTTTGGATTAGACAGAGGTTGTAGTGGCACAATACTGTGAATATGCTGAATGCTACTGAATTGTTTACTTTAAAATAGTTAATTTTACATAAGTGAATTTCACCTGCATCAACAACCACAAAAAAAAAAACAGAATGTACAACTGTGAGTACTGTTGTCTCCATATTTTCTCCTGAATTTTATTAATATGGTATCATGCAAGTTACCCTACCAAAATTATTTGCAATACATGTCCTATGCTCTTTACACTGACTTTAAGAAAACTGTCCAGAAGTAGCACCAAGTCAAACACACAATGAACTGTTGGGAAGTAGTGACAACTGATGTTCAAAAATCCTTACATTACTTGGTCCTTGCCTTAGGCCTTATATTGTATCATTTCCTTTCCTACTCACTATGCTCTAGACATACTTGCCTTTATGCTACTCCTAGAACATATCAAGTTTGTTCACACCTCAAGGTTTTAGTCTTTCTGTTTCCTCTTAAGGATATGCTCTCCCCAAATACTCATGTGGTTTACTTCCTTACTCTTTCAGGTCTCCACTTACACATAACCTCTTTGGTGAGGCTTTCCTTGACCACTCTTTTTTCTTTTTTTTAAAATTTCACCCAGCTCTGTTAAGGTATAATTGACAAATAAAAATTGCATGTATTTATAGTGTACAAGGTGATGTTTTAATAAATGTACTTGTGAAATGGTGAAATTAAGCTAATTAACATGTCCATCACTTCACATGCTTATATATTTTTTGTGACCACCCTCTTTTAAATAAATGCTCAGCCTATCACGCTATACCTGGATTCTCTGCTTTATTTTTTCATAGAATTTATCGCTATTACTATTGGTGTACCTTTATTTATAGCCATCTATTTAGCTCTTACCCTTAGAGCTATTCATTTAGCTAACAGAATAAAGGTAACCTCTGCCTCTACAATGCTAAATCTGCAGTGCCCAGAGCAGTGCTTGGCATGTAGTAGGCTCCCAATAGAGTCTTGCTGAAAGAATGAAAGAATAAATTAATTACTGGTAATGCCAAAAAATTCTTAGTCAGAAGAGGAAAGAATAATATTTGACTGAAAATTTGTATAGGGTAACTAAAGGGTAAATAGAGATAATGACTTCTATGGAAAGGACACATTAAGTGTACCCCAAAACAAGGGGCACATTTACAATCATGTTGCACCAAGTGGGTAGATAATCAATATTGGTTGGGAACCCTTGCTTCAGTGAGGAAAAAGAAGGGCTCAGACAAACCTGTAAGCTGTGGCTACTTCTGGTAAATGAGATCAGTTTGGTGTGATGAATAACCTCTTAATGTGGCTTTAGATTATACCATAGATTATAAGTTTGATGGGATGAAATGCGTTATAATTTTCTTTGGATGCAAGTTGGGGGAAAGGCACAATTGTATACTGTGCCTAACAACTTTAATCCACTAGAATTACATTGCAGATGCAAAAATAAGCAAAATGCCTATGAGATCAGAACAGCTGTTAGGAAGCAAGTAGTAAAGTTAGTGAATTTTGCTATGGTCTGAATGTGTTCCCCACAATACATATGTTGAAACTTAATTGCCAGTGTGGTAGTATTAAGAAGTGAGGCCTTCAGGAGGTGATTAAATCATGACAGTGGAGCTCTCATGATTGGGATCAATGACCTTATAAAAAGGCTTGAGGAAGTGGGCTTGCTTCTTCCCATCCCTTCTGCCATGTGAAAATACAGTGTTTGTCCCCTCTGGAGGATGCAGCAACAAGGTTCCATTTTGGAAGCAGAGACACTTAACCCTTACTAGACACTGAACCTGCTGGTGCCTTGACCTTGGAATTTCCAGCTCCCAGAACTAAATTTCTATTATTTATAAATTACCCAGTCTGTGGCATTTTGTTGTAGCAGTACAAATGAACTAAGGCAAATTTATTCTTTAAGAAAGGGTTTCATGCTCTCACTTAAAAGTCACTTTATTTTACATACATATAGGTCTAACAGGCCTGTGATCTGGTTTCCAAGAATATAGCAGATTAGATACGATAAGTTAGGAATATACATAAACTGATTGCGAAGAAAGATGTTAAAGAACTTAATGGAAGAGTTAGGCAGAAAAAGTGTAAATCAGCACAAAAATTAGATACATATATAAGTTAGGGTACAGGCAAATGGCTAGATAAATCTTTATAGCTTCTGAAGCTTCACTGAATTATAGTCCCATCACTGATGTTCAATAATAATGAACATGGTAAAGGTGAAAAATTAGAAATTGTGCCACAGAATTAATACATCAACTAATTAATTCCATATACATTTATTGAGTGCTTACTATGCATCATGTCTTGTGTCAGTTGCTGGGATAATCAAATCAAATTAGACCCATGATCCAGTGACAGCATGTTTTGAGGAGAAAAGGAGATAATATCTGGGAAAAGCCTTTTTTATTCTGTGAAGCGATAAACATATGTATAAAAAATTAATATAATCTAAAATAAATTTTCTGAAAAATGGCTATCTTAGAAGTCAAATGCCATTCTTGAATGAATTATAGATGAGTCAAGCAATTTTAGGAATCCATTCATTCTCACTCAGTTCCAGCGCACAGCCCTTCTCATTGTTAGGGAAACACAAGATTATTCCTGTTTCTGGGCCTTTACTCATGCTGTTATTTTCTCTGCCCCTAAGTCTCTTCCTCAGAGCATCACTTTTAAATTCACATTTCTTTTATGTCTCTGCTCAAATATTACCTTATCAGACAGGCTTTTCCTGGACATCCTTATAAATGTAACAACACTTCTCTATTTTCTGAGGCTCAGACTTCTCTATTTCCTTTGCCCTGCATTATTTTCTCCACAACACCTGCCAGTGTCTGATACGTTATGCTATATACTTACTTGTTTAGTGTTATCTATTCCTATTGAACATAAGAAACATGAGAACAGGGAGCATGTGTGTTCCCTTCACTACAGTTTGCCCAGTGCTATGTAGTAGGCACTCATAAATATTTATTGAATGAATAAACAAATTAATTAATGCTTCTGACCTGAAGTTTAGAGTAGTTTAGACCTGAAGCTGAGGTACATTTCTGGGGCCAAAAAAGGAACTAAAATTGTGGAAAGATATTTCCAGAGAAGGTGGACTGGAAGTTTGGAGGGTCAGTGAAGGGACAGTAGAAAAAGCAAAAAGATAATGACTCAAGAAGGAAAGAGAAAAGGCCAGCTGACTTGAGGAATCAGAATCAGAAACGGCCTGCTATCTCACAAAGATTTCATGCCTAATCAAGTACCAAAATAACTTATTGTGACTTTCTGACAATATTCTAATTGGAAGGTTCTTGAGAAAGGTAATTAGTAGTATGGTTTTTAGAGGGAAGTTTCCTGGGCTTGAATCCTAGCTCTAAGGACACTGAGTAACTTTTCCCCTTGGCAAGTGCCTTTCCCGAATCTTAGTTTCCTTGTTCTAAAAAAAAAAACAATGAAAATACCTACCTTAGGGATAGCATTAGGAGATATACCTAATGTAAATGACGAGTTAATGGGTGCAGCACACCAACATGGCACATGTATACATATGTGACAAACCTGCACATTGTACACATGTACCCTAGAACTTAAAATATAATAAATAAATAAATAAATAAATAAATAAGAAAATACCTACCTCACAGAGTTGTAAGTTTTGGACTACATAATATTTAATGCCTCATAGCTGGAAACATAATCATTACAATAAAATTTTAATGCTGTATCCCAATTCTATAAAAAGGATTTAAAGTCATCATAAGTATGTATAACAATAAATATGATAGACATTGCATATAAGTGATTAAGAAAAAGAAAAAACATAGTAGAGATTATAAAATGAAGTCAATTATAATACAAATATAAAAAATACACAACAATACTTTGGGCACTAATATTAGGTCTATATGGGCTCTAGTTCAGTAGATGTGGTGGTGATAGTGGGGCACAAACATATTGCTACTGTAACAGGAAAGGGTAGAGATCCCAGGAGTTCCTTCATAGAAATACTCTTCCATTCCCTCAGTGAGTGAAAGCAGGAGAGGTTTGGCCACCAGAACCTGAGTAGAGAATCCTCTGCTTGGGGTCAGAGTAAGGATGCATCACATTACTCATGATTATCACAAAGAAGGATTTAGAGCTGGAAGATACCTTCGAAACTGCCATGCTCAATTTCTCAAACTGTTGCAGGGAAGCTTCTCTCACTAAACAGGAGGATGAACATATTACTGCCTATCCCTCATACTCCTGAGACCCTGCTGTATAGACTCACATGGTTTCTACAAAGAAAAATATTTTCGAGGGATCTTATGGTTTATCTGCAAAATCCTAGCAGATTTTGCAATGATCTGCTAATGATCCCTAAATTTTTTTTTCCAACTTTTATTTTAGGTCCAGGGGATACATGTGTAGGTTTGTACATGGGTAAATTGTGTGCTGTGGGGCTATGGGGTACAAATTATTTCATCATCCAGGTAATGAGCATGGTACCCAATAGGTAGTTTTTCATCCTCACGCTACTCCCACTCTTCACCCTCAAGTATCTATATCTGGTATCTATATCTACTGCTCTCTTCTTTGTGTCCATATTCTAACAGCATTTTTGTTTTTTTTTTGAGATGGAGTCTCTCTCTGTCACCTAGGCTGGAGGGCAGTGGCACGATCTCATCTAACAGCATATTTTTAAATGTTCACCAGTTAAGGCATAAAACGAAAAAAGCAAAACAAGAAAAAAAGTTTTTTGTTTAATTTGTAAAATATAATTGTAACTATGTACATATTTTATCTCTTTACATCTCATCCAATCAGACCCTTTCATAAAACTCTTCTATGTTATAAAGGCTCTAGAATTTTTGTCTGAAATTCTGCTAGACTAAAGAAGCCTCTTTTAATACTGAGACCAGCTCATGAGACATTTGAAAATTGCTTATGTGTGACATATATATCCAAGAAGAAATAGCTCCTTTTTTTCCTGATGTTTTTTCTTCCTTCGAGTGAAGAAAGATGAAAAATTACAGGTTCAAAATAAATAATTAGATCAATATCAGTATGCAGATTTCAGCATCATGTTTTGTATTTATTTGTTAGTGAAAAAATAGCATCTTGTTTTGATTGTTATCCCAACTTGTACCATTTCAAGCCTCTGCTGTAAATAGAAAGAAAGTTCATTAATTCGTATTTTGTTTAATTAAAGGTCAAAGAACTCCCAGCCAATTATCATAGAATTAAAAAACTCCCATTGCTGACTTCATATTCATCTCAGGGGCATTGATAGGATGGGGCAATCCATTCCAGTTTAGAATGAGCCTTTCAACTGTTTACAAATGCCTCCTAAACAGATTTCCCAAAGCAGAACCAAATTTTAAATTATATTTGCTCTGAAACTTTAACTTGCTGTTTAAAATATTTGATATTCACCTCTTTGTGAAAAAAGTAGGATCAAATGCAGAACTGCTCAATGCCTTCCAAGCTCTGTCAGCAGGAATGTGCTAGTTATATAGGTGTAGGTATAGGTGGTTTTAACGGCTTCTTATTCCTAATGGGGATGTAAGGAATGCTTTAAGACAATGTCGTGAGGATCAGATGGTCCTTTGCTATGGTTGCCCCATGGACTATGGATATATATTTGTTTTATTCATTTGTGGTAAGTGGCAGGTGGTCTTTTTCTATTGGCACTCTAACCCTTTGTGCCTTTTCCTCTTAGGTGTGCTCTTTGAGCAAAAGCAGGGCTGACATTTATCTCCATGATGGAGTAAGCTTGACATGGGCTTCTTCTTTGACAAGATATTCTTTTATAGTTATCACCTCTGCTTTCACCTTGTTCTCAAAGTTTATGTCTTACTTTTCATCTGCTCAGGATGAATAATGTGTTCCTCCTTACATAAAGCCCTTCTCACTCTAAATATGTCACCTTTTATAAAATACTTTTTCATAGGTCTTTCATTTGGGAAGATGTTGGGAATACACTCCAGATCTTATGTATAATTGGTGTGGGGCATTCAAATATACACAGGTGAAGCATAAAACATAAACTTCAATGTTTTAGTCTTTGAAATAATTAACCAATATCTGAGATCACATTTGTTTATGTTGTAGCCTCAGACCAATCTCAGTATTTCTTCTAATAATAACTTGTAGGTTTGATTTAAATTTTGAGTTATAATTGGTCAGATGACTCTTAAACTGGGAAAGATGCCACGATTTTACCTATTTAGGCCACCACATAGTCGTTTGCTTTCAGTGACCCAGTTCAGATGTAAATCAATGACCTTTTAGTGACACCAGAAGTCCAGGATAACATGTATTCCTTAATGGAAAAAGTTTTTTTTCTTTACAAAGATAACTTCAAAAAAATGTAGTAAATGATAAAATTGTCTAGGTAACTATATAAACCCCTTAAGTTCTACATTACTGTCTGCATACCATGGAGAACATAATAGATGTTCTATTACTAAGGAAGAGAGGATTTAAAAATCCACTTATTTTGTTACCAAATAAATTATATCTTAATTTAAAATTCCAAATTTATATCTTTAGGAATTCATTTTATCCATGTCTGTGTTTACTATAGAACAATGATTTAGAGAAAAACTGGTTAAGAAACTTTCAAAATACTTTAGAATGTGTTCCTTTTCCACAAATGTTTCCAATATCACAAATTCCAGATAGGAGTTAAATTGGTCATTTCCTGAAACTATGAAACTCAATTGCTTTAATTGAGTAGACCTAGAAACCTACAATTTTCTTTTGTCTATCTTAAGGGGACTCTAATGATAATATCATAATAGAGGCAATTAACTATCAGAGAGCCAGCAACGGTCTAGACATGGAAGCTGTGAGTTAATACCTAAACTTCTCAACCAAGGCATAACTGTCAAGAAAGTTACTATCCGTCTTGTTCTTAATTTTTCTGTTTGAAAATATGGATGAAAATACGCACACTGGCTTAGAAAGTGTATTTTAGAAAGACCCTTCATGAAAACGAGTCTTATTGGTAATTTGAACACAAACATTTTAGAGTTACCCCGAACTAAATTGCGGTTTCTTTGTTTCACAAGCTTGCTACTATGGGTTATGTAAAAGCTAACGTCATTCCAAGAAAAATTGCAAAGGTGCTGACTAGACTAGGAGTGAAGTGTTGTTTCTTCAGGTATCCTGGTACTGTGAGAAGGTATAATGTGCAGCCGATATTACCTTGGCTACTCATTATTTTGAGTCAGCTGAGAAAACAAAGTGCATTTGGTTGATGTAATTTTGAGTTTCATATTATTTGTATTCTGTAATTCTTTCCATCCACAATAAATACCTTTAGATCATCCTAGGAAAAAACACATTTTCTATTTTGACCAAAGTTTTAGTCACAGAAAATTATTTGAACATGAGTAACTGAAGATAACCCTAAAATTTTACTTTCATCAAATTCTGAATAGTGATTATTTTAAGACGGTATCCTTTAAAATATGATTTAAAGTTCTCTAATTGCTATTATTTTTATTCACAGTACATATTTTTAAAAATGGATACTACTGGGGCTTACTTACATGTCTGTCATTCCTGTTACTTGACTGGCATTTCACAAAAAATTCAAGTTAGTGGCTAAGGTTTTATTGCCAGCTGTTCCACTTATTTTCAGCTTCATCTGAATAAAGGTGGAAATTGAAACCAAAGAAAGAAAAAAATGATACAACGTTATAACTCTCCTCTAACATCCCTCATATGGTGAGTTTCCTTGTTATGAGAGATAGTCTCCAATTGAATCTAACTACATTCCACAGCTTCTACATGGAGAAACCTATCCCATTCAAGAACTGGTAAGGTCAACCTCCCATGCACTAAAATCTAGACTTCTGAGCTTGGAACTGTCTCTCCTTGGGAGAAGTGTCATAAGTCTGTACTGGCCTTAAGTGTGTACTTTAATTTTCTGTGTGCTGTCCTTTGTAACAGAGAGAGAAAACCTTGTATGCAAGGTTTGACTTATGATGCATTTTAGAGACACACATTCTCATCCTCTCTCCCCCTGCCCAATCATACATGTCAAGTATGGACATGGGAGAAGCTCTAGGTTGGCAGCCAAAATTTCAATTCTAGTAGACAGTGATGATTTGTGCCAGGCTCAAATTCCTAGGATAATCTGGAACTGATTAGAGATATTCACAGCTGAGAGAAATGTGTGTCTGAGAAACACAATGGGACTTCCTTTCAGGTTCCCTGAATCTGTGAATGTATAGGTGGAAGTGCTGATGGGAAGGGAAAGGATATGGAATACAGGGGATCTTCCAGGATTCTTTTTATCAGCTAGAAAGAGTTAAGACTTTCCCTGCCTTCGTAGTGATCTTGCAAAAACAGTAGCCAACTCAAATGAGATGATATGTAAAAGCTTTTTGAGAATTATAAGCAATTACACAAACATAAAAGTTACATTGTCCTTTTACATATCATCTATGTGATCTTTAAAACAACTCAAGAGAGAGAAGGCATGCACGATTTCACCACTTTACATTTAAGGAAACCAAAGCTCAGACATGTTAAGAGATTTCCTTAAACCCACACAGTAAATAAGAGGTTAAATGGAAGATTTAAACCCATATTTCCATATGGTCTAAGCTGTCTTGTCTAGAAACAAAAAAAAACTAAAAATATCCTGACCAATATTTCTAGTTATAACAATTTATCTAGGCAAATCTTTCAATTCATTTTTCTTAGACCATAAAACCACCTTTCCTGCCATAAGCGGTGCTTTTTAAATAACTTTCTGCATGAATATTTTTGTATTAGCATGGAAAGATAATGTGTTTTGCTAATATTATGTTTATTTCTTAGTCCACATTCTCCCCTTAATATATGTATAATCTTTCCTGAATATGAATTAGCCTTTCATTTTCAACTACAAAAAGCATTTAAAATGGTTTTAGGATTATTAGGCCAAGAAGCTTACCCAAACCGATGAAAGCATAGCATTTATGAGTTCCCTCATTTGTAGTATAGACTGTAGATTAAGGCCTGATGTCCTGCGAGTTAAGGTCCTAAAGTGCTCTATTGTGATTTTCCAACAAGCAAGAATGACTTTTACTTTGACACTAAATGTGATTTTTTGTCCTTAGGCCAAGATGGTTGGCAGATTGCTTTTATGTAATTCCTGTGAAGCTGGCAGGAGGTGACTCATATACATAAATGCCTCTTTCAATCAGGAAGAAGGTGTCAGAGGGCGGGTGGGTGGTGTCTGAATGACTAAGTTTTAAGATGTTAGGGGTACTGAAAAAAAATGGATTAAATTGAAGGTTTCTAGGGTGATGCACACAAGAGGATCTGGATCAGATCAATAAATGAAAGACAAACTTTGAAAAGATTTTACTACATTGCTAGAGTTTTAGTCTACATTTTATAACTCAATGCAAAGAAAAATTTCCAAAACGATTCATAAATTAAAAACAGCCCAAAGTTTAAACAAGGTCTAGGAATCAGACTTGATTGCAAGATGCTAAAATTGAAATATAAGTAAGTACATTGCGTGAAAGGGACAGAAGATTTATGGGTTTGAAAAAGCTATGAGAAAGTCACCTAATTTTCAGGTACAGCTACAGGGGAGGAGTATGTTCCTGAAAAAATAAAGACCTACTCACTGCCTCATTCAAGTAAAATAACAAAGCTTTCTCACAATGGTAGTCATATGGAACAGAATAAAAATGTCTGTTGAGAGAATAGAGGATTCCAGATAAATGCGAAGTAACGACATGACCATGTAGCTAGGCAGCAGCCCATAATGGCTGATGTTCTCAGTAAATGCTCAGCGGAACACATAAAAGCCCATACGATGATTGAACTCCCAGGGAAAGCTAAACAGGTTGACAGAATGAAATTCTTCATTTCATGGCTTTGTGTTCTGGTTTTCTCATGAGACCATGTTATGTATCTGTTATGTTTTTTTCCTCTAAAAATTTTAAAGAGGGCAAAGCAAGCAAAAAACAAATAACAACAACAAGCCACTACCTAACCCAAAGAGAAGCATATATAAAATTGTTACCCAACAATATTCATTGTTGTTACCCAACAATGAAACGAGAGTGTTCAACTTGAACAAGGGTTGGAGTTTGGATTCAGCAGTGTTATCAACAAAAGGTTGCAGCATTTTTTTCACCACTTATCATTCTGCATATTGTGTTCATTGATTGGCTTGCCCAATATTATAACATCAATCTATTATTTTCAGGAACTGTGTGATTATACTTGCAATTACAAACCAGAACAATTTCTATTAGTACTTTTTTTCTCTTAATATCTGTATAAAGATTATAGAGGAATTCTGAATGTCTTCAGGCAGTTTTGGGACTGTTGTCTGAACTCTTCCACTAGGCATTTATTTTATTTTATTTTAAAAGTTTCTTGATGTGGAGCATTTTTGAGAGCGCTAGAAGCATTTCAGAAGACTTTTGATATGGTCTGCTACTGTCAATAAAGATTTTAGGAGATACAAAACTTAATTCCGCATACTTGATTCTAATGTTAAGATTATTTCCCTATATTGGTTTTCATTCCAGTTGTTGTTGTTGTTGTTGTTTTTACGGAGTCTCGCTCTGTCGCCCAGGCTGGAGTGCAATAGCGTGATCTCAGCTCACTGCAACCTCTGCCTCCTGGGTTCAAGCAATTCCCTGCCTCAGCCTCCGGAGTACCTGGGACTACAGGTGCCTGCCACCATGCCCGGCTAATTTTGTTTTTGTATTTTTAGTAGAGACGGGGTTTCACCATGTTAGCCAGGATGGTCTCGATCTCGTGACCTCATGATCCACCCACCTCGGCCTCCCAAAGTGCTGGGATTACAGGCGTGAGCCACCGCGCTTGGCCCATTCCAGTTGTTTTTAAATAATGTTTAATTGGCTTTCGTGCAGAGTTGGTAAGAAACAAAATTCCTATGGAACTAAGTTAAAAAGGCATGTTTTTAACCTTTATTTGTTTGTGTTAGTGTAATAGTAAGAGTCTATCTCTAAAAGTAAAACACAAGTTCTTTCACTTTCCTGAATGAGGATTTTGTTATTATTGCAGGCTTATTATCACTTCATATTTTCTGTTTAATGTAATGTCCCTTGTAAAACCAACATATGACAGAACAGAGGTCATGCTTGCATTTCTCAAAGATGTCACACTGTCATTAAAGTTCCTGAGAGAGATTTCAGAAACACTAAACTAGGAATCAGGTACTTTCAAAAAGAGTGAGAAAAACATGTTGACTGAGCCTATGGATCCAGAAATAGGCTTTGGTACAAAAAGGGGCATTTGGGCCATAAGTTGCTTGGGCCTAACACATCGTGGATACTATTTTTTTAAAAATCAATTTTATCATGTATAATTAAGATAAACAAAATGATGTTATGGGATACATATAGATAGTAAAATGATTACTATAGTGAAGCAAATAACATATCCATCATCTCACATAGTTACCTATTTTTTTTTTGTTTTTATAGCAAGAGTAGCTAAAACCTACTCATTTAGCAGGAATCCGAAATACAGTACAATTTTATTAGCTGTAGTTCTCATGTGGTACATCAGATCTTTAGACTTGTTCATGCTACATATCTACTACTTTGTATCCTCTGAATTACATCTTGTCATTTCCTCAAAAAAGGTCAAAAATGAAGAGATGGATATCATTTTTAGAAGAATACAGGTGGAGGCATAATCTCTCTTTCCACTGTGAACCTATTGTTCTCATTGGCAATGGAGTCTACAGAGTAGAGAGGATTTTCTGTCACAAAGGCATAGTTAGTCCCAAAAGATAGAAAGATTGTTGAGGAAAATAAGACTGAATGGTTAAAAATTGTAAAGGCACAGAGTCAGACTAGAGTGAGACAGGGTTTGACTCCTGCTTTTCCATTACAAATGGTGTGACCTTCAGTAATGTCTGAATCTCGGTCCACTCATCTAAAAAATAATGCATTCTTTATGAGAATGCTGTTAAGAAGGAATGAAATAATACATGAAAGCACTAGGTCACATAGTCAACTAAAAACACATAATAAGTCTTCAAGAATATTACTTTCTTGTATCTCTACCCTTTCCTGATGAATGCCTCTATACCAACAAAAGGCAAACCAGCACTCCCAAGGTACATTTGGAAGTGGGCTCAATGGTGGTGGTTTAGTGAAGGGGGTATTTTAAGTACCTCTCATCAAAGGGTACTGACAATTAATTCTAATTAAAATTAACATTTATGGAGAAATGAACACTTAATGAATACCAGGCTCTGTGTTAAGCATTCTACATGGACTATCTCATTTAATCTACTCAATAATAAATCGAATTAAGTATTATATTTATTTCATTATACTGGTGAGGAAATTGAGTTACACATCGATTAAGTACATTTACTAAAAATTGAATTTCCATTTAGTTTAAGAAAGGATTTTATGGTATTCTTTGCAAGAAGACTTGATTTTGGGATTATGTATTCAAGTTACTAAGTCCATATTAACTGTAAAAACTCATGTATTGAAAACACTATTAAATTGTAATACACATTCATGAAGAAAAAGCATCAGTGGTGTTTTAAAATAATTCATGGTACTTGATATGGTTTGGATTTGTGTCCCCGCCCAAATCTCATGTCAAATTATAATTCCCAGTGTTGGAGGAAGGTCCTGGTGGGAGGTGACTGAATCATGTGGGGTTGATTTCCTGCTTGCTGTTCTGGTGATTGTGGGTGAGTTCTCATGAGATCTAGTTGTTTAAAACTGTAGCACCTCTCCCTTACCTCTCTCTTACTCCTTCTCTGGCCATGTAAGATGTGCCTACTTCCCCTTTGCCTTCTGCCATAATTAGAAGCTCCCTGAGGCCTCCCCAGCCATGCTTCCTGTACAGCCCATGGAACGGTGAGTCAATTAAGCCTCTTTTCTTTATAAACTACCCAGTCTGAGGTAGTTCTTCATAGCAATGCGAGAACAGACTAATACAGTACTCTTACATTTATGCATATCTTGTGGGCAGAGACACTTAGTGCCTTTGCTCTGTACTGTTGTTTTGAGGACATCTGTAAAAACAACCTTGGAAGATAGAGATAGTGTCTTTCTTTGTAGTAAAGAACAATTTTGTTTATTTTGCAGCATAAAAAGACAATATTTACTTCTGTGGCAAAGGTCACTCAGGCTTACTGTCCATTATAAAATATTTGGTTTCCCTAAGCTTAGAGTTCATCTCCTATAATGCAACCCACTGTATGTGCAGGTATCATCTGGCACTCTTCACATCACCCTGTAGGAATTAGAACTTGGAGTACATGCTGCTACTCTGGCTAACGCTAATGCTGTGAGTAATAAAGTCCTTTTCTCTTTGATCTAAGAGTGTTGCACCTTCTGCCAGCAACCATGAAACTATGTCAGGGTGACTTGTTAGTTTGCAAGTGAAATCTCAAGACTCTTCACTGCTCTTGACAAGTGGCAAAAGGAAACTTGTAAGTATCCATGGACAGCAAAAGATACAGTTAATTTAGGGTACTATCTGAAGCATTGGCACGAGGATGTAAAAATACTCGGGAAAAATAATCACCCCCAAAGGCTGTGTTTTGTGACGTACCAGAGAGACTTTGTGATAGGAATTTGTGTGTGTGCTTGCAAGGAAAAGGAGAGGGTAAAGAAAACATACTGCTTGAAATCATGGAAAACTAATAAATATACATGGCTGTAAACAGCTTTCTAAAGGCAGGTACATTGTGCTGAACATGATTTATGTGTTTGCTCCTGGCTTGAAAATGAGCATTGGTACTAGATTCACCAAAGCTGTTAAATTCTTCTGAGGCTCAATGCTGCAGGAAATTGTTCCATATCTATATTCTCAGGAAGCCAACTGGCTGGCTTTTAACTTTATGCAACTTTTTTATCTGACAAATTGAGTGGAGAAAGAAGGGTTAATTTACTGGCAGGTATAATTCACAGCTAATAAATTGTAACAAGCATCAGGAAGTAAAGAGACAGTAGCATAATGGGGACACAGCAAAGAGGCATTTTTTCCCTTTAAATGTACTTAATTAGCACAGTTCATCCTCTGGGGGGCAGGAAATAATGAGCCCATAACAGCCTTTGCCTCTGGATGCTGCTAAGTCTGTTTAAAAGCAGCAAATTACTACAGTGTAAGAAATCCCTCCTGTTACATATGAAGGATCTTGTCACACATATTTTCATTAAGAAAGAAGTAAATTTATGTATGTAAAACTAAGTACATTTTTTATACTGCAATGTACTTTTGTATCAACAGATCTCTCTCTCGCACACACACACACAATCACTTGCATTGTATGCATCATTTAAAAAATAAACTGAGTTTTATATGCACATAATTGTGAGCTATGTCCTGAGCATAATGAATTCATAAGTGCAAAAACCTTGCATAAAAATATAGTGTATTTTTTAGGAGAGATAAGGAAACTAATATATGAGTATCCAATTTATGCCATAAAAGATATGGGTTCTCGAACTTTAGGGTTCTTCTTCTATAATGCCACACATTGCATGTGCATGCATCACCTGACCCTGTTCACATCACAAAACTCATTTAGACCTTTTCAAACTCCATGAGGTAGGTATTATTATCATTCCTATTTTAAAGATGAGATGGGTTCACATGCGTAAGTAAATTGTTCTGGCTTCACAACTTATATAGATGGGAGATTTGAGCGCAAGTTTGCCTAAGTCTAAAGCCTCATTATCTTTTCACTTTACACCCCTTCCTTGTGCAGTAGAAAAAGACAGGTTTTAGGAAGATAAGTTTATTTATAAGCCTAGATTCATCTTTGGTTTTCCACAGGGTTCACATTTTCTCCCTAATAAAATGAGTTCAGTTTATCTTCTTCCTTAGAGCAAAATAATTCATGTCCTCAGTAGCTAGTCCTTCATATGGTGCCATGGAAAACACAGATTATTCATCATAATTTCTTTAAATAATTATTCCAGCAGACATTTATTGAGGGAGCCTATGTGTATTACTCTGTGCTAGGAAGAGTGAAGGACATTAAAAAAATATGGCACATAACATCACCATGAGGGACCTATAATCTGATGGGAGAACATATGGGTGAAATGTAAAATGGAGGGCAGTTTGTGATCCAGAACTTCAAATGAGACTTTCGTGAATTAATTTAGGAATAGGATGTTCCCTAAAAATAAAGAGTGAAATAAAGAATTCATTTAGACTCTCAAATCATTTCTGTGAAATCTAAGTATATGTGGCCATGACCTTCATGGTGACATACCCCAGGGATGATCCTCTTTTACTCTCTTCTCTACTGTCTTTTCCCAGATGATTTTATCCAGTGGCAGGAATTTAAATACTATCAGTATGCTATTGAGTTCCTGATTTATATCTTTCCTCCCAACATCTCTCTGAACTCTAGACTCGAATACCCTATTGCCTGCACATCTCTACTTGGACATCTAAAAGGCACCATAGATGTAGCAACTGTAGAAGAGAATTCTTGCTCCCACCCTCCCCATCCCGTTAATAATAACTAACACCAGGTACTGTTTTAAGTACTTTACACGTGTTTATTAATTTAATCCGTAAGGCACATCTGAGTAATAAGTGCTGCTATATGATTCTAATTTTACCAAAAAGAAAATTGATACAGAGGATCAGGTGATGAAGAGGGGATGCAAACTTAGTGTTTGTCCACAGTGCATGTCTCACAACTACTGCAGTACAGTCTCTTCTCTAGGGCTCCCCAACTGGAGGAACACACTGCTGTCAGGCCAAAATCCTAGGAGGTATCCTTGATTCTATTCTTTCCTAGTGCTTCCCACATACCATCTATGAGCAAGTTCCTTTAGCTACATTTTCAATATGTCTCAAGCCCGTTAACTTCTCACCATCTTTATTACCACCGCTATCACTTGTTGGGTCTAATTCAGTAGCCACCTGCCTGGACTCTCACCTTCCATTATTTTTCTACAGTCCATTCTCCATACGACAGCCAGTATAATTTTAAGAAAACCTAAATCAGACCTTATTATTCCCTTGCCAAAGATATCCAATGGCTGCTCCCTGAAATCAGAATAGAATCCAAATTCCTCTCCATGGCCCACCAGACCCCACATAATCTGGTTCCTGTCTGTTTTTCTGAATTCCTCTCATCCTGGGCTCCCTCACATTCACTGTGCTCCACGCACACTGACCTTTCTTCTCTCTCTCGATTACACCAGGCTTGTTTCATAATAGGGCCTGTTTCTTTTGCATAGAACTCTCTTACCTTATGTATTTGTGTTTATTGTAGGCTATTCTCCTCTTTCATGTCTCAGCTCACATGTTATACCAGAGAAGATTTCCCTTTCAGCTTCTCTAAATCAGCATTCCCCTTGTGCTCAACCTCCCTGGCATATTCCACCACTCTGCATCCCACTGACCCTGTTTCATTTTCTTCGTAGCTCTCTTATTCCTATAAGATTATTTTATTTGCTCAGGTTCTTATGTGTTTCTTGTCTTTTTCCTCTCATTAGAGGTAAGATATATGTAACCAGCAGACTTGTTCATTTTGGCTACCACTACACCACCAGCTCCTAGAACAATGCCTGGCACATAGTAGACACCAATTAATATTTTTTGAGTGAATGGCCAAAAATGGTCTAGTTTTCTTGTAGCTGACTTTATACTTCTGAAGCATTTATAAGAATTAATTTTACTCATTTTAGTATTCCTTCCAAAATGCTGCTCAAATATATTCTCCCAGTACATGTTATGTTCACAGTAAAAAAAATAGTGTAAATATTGAGGGCCAACTTGTATTAGGCATTTGACATAGAGTGTCATTCTCACTTTCATGCTATGAAGTAAGTGTGATTCTTATTTTAAAGATATGGAAACTGATGGTGAAGTGGGTTAAACACTTGCCTAGGGTTACTTAAATGGAAAGGGGCAGACTTGAGATTTGGACCCACACTGATTTTTTTTTTTTTTTCAGAGTCTGGCTCTGTTGGCCAGGCTGGAGTGCAATGGTGCAGTCTTGGCTCACTGCAACCCCTGCCTCTCAGGTTCAAACGATTCTCCTGCTTCAGCTTCCTGAGTAGCTGGGATTACAGGCATCCGCCACCACGCCCAACTAATTTTTGTATTTAGTAGAGACAGGGTTTCACCATGTTGGCCAGGCTGGTCTCGAGCTCCTGACCCTCGTGATCCACCCACCTCGGCCTTCCAAAGTGCTGAGATTACAGGTGTGAGCCACCGTGCCCGGCCACTGATCTTAACTCTCAAGCTATTTTCAGCAGGAATATTATATTCACCTATGCAACTGGCTAGAAAATGTAAATAATCAGAAAGATGAAATGATGAGAAGCCTTTCAGTCTATAAAAATGTGGAAGTTGGGGAGTTTGGGTCAGCATGGCAGACTAGAAGCAGTTCACGTGTGTCATTTTCACTGACTAGTGAACACTGACCCTACAAGCTGATCACCTAAAAAACCACATTGGGATCCATCAAGGCAGCAGGGAGACATAGAGAGCAGAGAGGAGTGAAGCTGGGCACCAGCCTGTCTGGGCTGAGTGCAGAGGCCAGAAGAACCTCTCCAAAATGGGAAAAGGCAAGTGAGTGAGAGCCCCGTGGGGTCCTGTGCAAGACTGGGAATGAAAAAATCCCCTGGCTCTCCTCCATGCCCGCTCCATCCCCCACACTTCTAAACTGAGGCACAGAGCCACCCAGAAGTTTTACAGG
The DNA here is from genome assembly GCF_000001405.40 of Homo sapiens. NCBI lineage: Eukaryota > Metazoa > Chordata > Mammalia > Primates > Hominidae > Homo > Homo sapiens. The sequence continues at coordinate 118,077,994 of NC_000004.12, read as the reverse complement.
GGCAACTCTTGAGTCCAAGGGGAGTGATCTTCTGTTGTCCTGAAAATCACCTGGACAGAAGGGCGGGCAACCCCACTCACTCCTGCCACTGGTAGCCAGGTGGGCCATGCCTGCTAGAGCTTACAGCCCAGCAGACTGCTTCTACCTGAACTCGGCAGGCAAGCACAATCCCATGTTCCCCAGGAAGTACTTGGATAGCAGATTAGGTGGGCTCCACCCACTCCTGCTGCTCATCGCCAAGTGAGACTTGCTGGCTTGGGTGGTGCCCAAGCAGGAAGGAGCCCTCACTCTTGGATCACTGAGAGAGATGAGATGCCACAGGCCAGTGGAGGCATGGGGTGTACCTCCCTCCGAAGGGCCAGCTGGGCAAGTATATTACCTGTCTGCCAAACGTGGTCCCTGCCTGAGGGACCTCTCTGGACCAGAACACCCAAGAAAAGAAATGCAGGCATAAAGCCAGTGATTGGAGGGGGCTCTTCCAAGACCCAGGAGCAGATTAGGTGAGGGTGTCATCTCTCTCCCCTGCTACCACAGAGCACAAAGAGCCATGCCGCCAAGAGTCTATCTGCTAACACTCTTAAGCGCCATCTACTGGACCACAGCCCAAAATACAACACCAAAATATTTTGCCAGTATGTTCTATCTGTGAAAACGAAGGCAGAGGTTTTTGCTGGCACCCCACCCCAACTGACGCATGTGCACCCCAATGCACCAATGCAGCTGTTGGCACATGTGAATGAGTATGGATCCTGTTGCCATTGCCCCAGTGAAGCACTTTGGCTGGCACCCCCCCATCAGAGTGTGGCCAGTGGACTAAGAACACATTGGCCCTTCCTGCGCAGCAGGTTCCTTACCTCAAGAGGCCAGATAACAAAGCCAAGGGCCCTGTACCAGTTCCTCAGAGTTAGAGCATGTAGCCCAAGATTGCTGAACTGAGCCTTGGCCCCCTGAAATCTTTCAGAATTGAAGCCAGTCAATTGAACCAACCTTATACCACAATCAAACCTCAAAGAGTATCAAAGAAGATAAAAGCAAAAACCCCATCAGCAACATCAAAGACTAAATGATCATCAGCTCACACAGATGAGAAAGAACGAGTGCACAAACTCTGATAACTCAAAAAACCAGTGCCCTCTTACCTCAAAACGACTGAAGTAGTTTTCCGGAAATGGTTCTTAACCAGGCTGAAATAGCTGAAATAACAGGCGTAGAATTCAGAATATGGATAGGAATGAAGATCATTGAGATTCAAAAGAAAGTAGAAACTGAATCCAAAAACTCTAAGGAATACAACAAAACAATACAGGATCCAAAAGATAAAACAGCCGTTTTAAGAAAGAACCAAACTGATCTGATAGAGCTGAAAAACTCGCTGCAAGAATTTCATAATATAGTTGAAAGTATTAACAGCAGAATAGACCAATCTGTGAAGAGAATCTCAAAGCTCAAAGACTGGTTTTCCTAATTAACTCAGTCAGATAAAATTACAGGAAAAATAATAAAAATAATGAACAAAACCTCTGAGAATATGGGATTATGTAAAGAGACCACATCTGTGACTCGCTGGCATTCCTGAAACAGAGAGAAAATGAGCAACTTAGAAATCATATTTGAGGATATCATCCACAAAAGTTTCCCCAAACTTGTGAGAAAGGCCAACATTAAAATTCAGGGAATTCAGAGAACCCCTGTGAGATACTATACAAGATGACCTTTCCCAAGACACATAGTCATCATATTCTCCAAAGTTGACATGAAAGAAAAAACATTAAAGGCAGCTAGAGAGAAGGAGCAGGTCACCCACAAAGGGAAACCTATCAGGCTAACAGCAGACCTTTCAGAAGAAACCCTCCAAGCCAGAAAAGATTGGGGGCCCATTTCAGTATTCTTAAAGAAAAGAAAATCCAACCAATAACTCATATCCAGCCAAACTAAGCATCATAAGCAAAAGAGAAATAAGATCCCTTGCAAACAAACAAATACTAAGGGAATTTGTTACCACCAGACCTGCCTTAAAAGAAGTCCTTAACTTCATGACTAAAACACAAAAAGCAATGGCAACAAAAGCCAAAATAGACAAATGGGATCTAATTAAACTAAAGAGCTTCTGCACAGCAAAAGAAACTACCATCAGAGTGAACAGGCAACCTACAGAATGGGAGGAAATTTTTGCAATCTACCCATCTGACAAAGGGCTAATATCCAGAATCTACAAAGAACTTAAACAAATTTACAAGAAAAAAATCAAACAGCCCCATCAAAAAGTGGGCAAAGGACATGAACAGACACTTTTCAAAAGAAGACGTTTATGCAACCAACAGACACATGAAAAAATGCTCATCATCACTAGTCATCAGAGAAATGCAAATCAAAACCACAATGAGATACCATCTCACACCACTTAGAAGGGCAATCATTAAAAAGTCAGGAAACAACAGGTGCTGGAGAGGATGTGGAGAAATAAGAACACTTTTACACTGTTGGTGGGAGTGTAAACTAGTTCAACCATTGTGGAAGACAGTGTGGTGATTCCTCAAGGATCTAGAACTAGAAATATCATTTGACCCAGCCATCCCATTACTGGGTATATACCCAAAGGATTATAAATCATGCTACTATAAAGACACTGCACATGTATGTTTACTGTGGCACTATTCACAATAGCAAAGACATGGAACCAACCCAAATGTCCAACAATGATAGACTGGATTAAGAAATTGTGGCACATATACACCATGGAATACTATGCCATAAAAAATAATGAGTTCATGTCCTTTGTAGTGACGTGGATGAAGCTGGAAACCATCATTCTGAGCAAACCATCGCAAGGACAGAAAACCAAACACCGCATGTTCTCACTCATAGGTAGGAATTGAACAATGAGAACACTTGGACACAGGGCGGGGAACATCACACATCAGGGCCTGTCATGGGGTGGGGGGATGGGGAAGGGATAGCATTAAGAGAAATACCTAATGTAAATGATGAGTTAATGGGTGCAGCAAACCAACATGGCACAGGTATAGATATGTAACTAACCTGCATGTGGTGTACATGTACCCTAGAACTTAAAGTATAATAATAAAAAAAGAAGTCCTTAAAGGAGTGCTAAATATGGAAATGAAAGTCTTTTGCTGGCCACCACAAAAACAGATGTAAATATACTATATAGCAACTACACAATCATGTATGCATAATATCCCACCAAAAACACAATGAGAGGATCAAATTTGTACATATCAGTATTAACCTTGAATATAAATGGGCTAAATTCCCCAATTAAAAGGCACAGAATGGCAAGTTGGATAAAGAAGCAAGACCCAACTGTATGCAGTCTTCAAGGACACATCTCACATGCAGTGACACCCATAGCCTCAAAGTAAGGGATGGAGAAAGATCTGTGAAGCAAACAGAAAACAAGAAAAGCAGGAGTTGTTATCCTTCTTTCAGACAAAACAGCCTTTAAACCAACAATGATCAAAAATGACAAAGAAGGGCATTACATAATGATAAAAGGTTCAATTCAACAGGAGTTAACTATCCTAAATATATTTGCATCTAACAGTAGAGCACCCAGATTCACAAAATGAGTTCTTAGAGATCTATGGAGGGATCTAGATAACCACATAGTAATAATGGGAGACTTCATTGAGGCAGAAAACTAACAAAGATATTCGGTACCTAAGCTTGACACTTGACCAAATGGACCTAATAGATATCTACAGAACTTTCCACCCAAAACCAACAGAACATCGTGTTTCACATTTGCACATGGCATATAGTCTAAAATCAACCATGCAATTGGCCATAAAACAATTCTCAGCAGATTTAAAAAAACTGAAATCATACCAACCAAACTGTCAGATCACAGGGCAATAAAAATAGAAATCAATACTAAGAAGATCATTCAAAACCATACAATTACATGAAAATTAAGCAACCTACTCCTGAATGACTTCTTGTAAACAATGAAATTAAGTCAGAAATTAGGAAACTATTTGAAAATAATGAGAACAAAGATACAACCTACCAGAATCTCTGGGATATAGCTAAAGCAATGTTAAGAGGAAAGTTTTTAGCACTAAATGCTCACATAAAAAGTTAGAAATATCTTAAATGTAACATCACATAAAAAGTTAGAAATATCTTAAATGTAACATCACACCTAGATGAACTGGAAAAACAATAGCAAACCAACTGCAAAAGTAGCAGAAGACAAGAAATAACCAATATTGGAACTTAATTAATGAAACTGAGATGTGAAAAAATGAACTGAATAAAATTGAGACATAAAAAAGCATGTAAGAGATCAACAAAACCAGAAGTTAGTTTTTTGAAAAAATAAATAAGATCAATAGCTAACTAGACAAATAAAGAGAAAAAGAGAGAAGATCCGAATAAGCAGAATCAGAAATCACAAAGTGGATAATACTACTGACTCCACAGAAATACAAAAAACCCTCAGAGGCTATTATGAACACCTCTATCCACAAAAACTAGAATACCTACAAGAAATGGACAAATGTCTGGAAACATGCAACTACCCAAAATTCAACCAGGAAGAAATTGAAACCCCGAACAGACCAATAATGAGTTCTGAAATTGAATCAGTAATAAAAAGCCTACCAACCAGGAAAAGCCCAGGACCAGATGGATTCACAGCTGAATTCTACCAGACATAGAAAGAAGAACTGGTACCATTCCTACTGAAACCATTCCAAAAAATTGAGGAGGGACTCCTCCTTAACTTATCTTATGAGATCAGCATCATTCTGATACCAAAACCTGGCAGAGATACAGTAAAAAAGAAAACTTAAGGCCAATATCCAGGATGAACACAGAAGCAAAAATCCTCAACAAAATATTAGCAAATCAAATACAGCAGCACATCAAAAAGCTAATCCATCACAATCAAGTGGGTTTTATCCCTGGGATGTAAGGTTGGTTCAATATATGTAAATCAATAAATGTGTTTTATCACATAAACAGAATTAAAAACAAAAACCACATGATTATCTCAATTAATGCAGAAAAGCTTTCGATAAAATTCAACTTCCTTCATGTTAAAAACCGTCAACAGACTAGGCATTGAAGGAACATACCTCAGAATAATAAGGGATATCTATGACAAACCCACAGCCAATATCATACTGAACAGGCAAAAGCTGGAAGCGTACCCTTTGACAACTGGAACAAAACAAGGATGCCCACTGTCACTACTCCTATTCAACATATTCTCTGGAAATCCTATCCAGAGAAATCAGGCAAGATAAAGAAACAAAAGGCATCCAAATACGAAGAGAGAAAGTCAAACTATTTCTGTTTGCAGATGATATAATTTTATATACAGAAAAACCCAGTATCTGCCTAAAAACTCCTAGATCTAATGAACAACTTCAGCAAAGTTTCAAGATACAAAGTCAATGTACAAAAATAAGTAGCATTTCTGTACACCAACAACATCAAAGCTGAGTGCCAAATCAAGAACACAATCCCATTCACAATAGCCATTCACAAACCAAAATACCTAGGAGTACAGCTAACTAGGGAGGTCAAAGATTTCTACAAGGAGAGTTGTACAACACTGTTGAAAGAAACCAAAAACAACACAAAGAAAGGAATAGCATTCCGTGCTCATGAATAGGAAGAATCAATATTGTTAAAATTGCCATATTGCCCAAAGCAATTTACAGATTCAGTGCTATTTCTATCAAACTATCAATGACATTCTTCACAGAATTAGAAAAAAAACTCTAAAAATCATATGAAACAAAAAAAAGTGCCTGAATAGCCAAAGCAATCCTAAGCAAAAAGAACAAAGCTGGAGGTATCACATTACCTGACTTCAAACAATACTAAAAGGCTATAGCAACCCAAACAGCATGGTATTGGTACTAAAACAGACATATAAACCAATGGAACAGGTTAGAGCACCCAGAAATAAAGCCTCACACTTACAACCATCTGATCTTCATATAAAAAATGTTCAACATCCCTAATCATTAGAGAAATGCAAATAAAAACCACAATGAGATACCGTCTTACACCAGTCAGAATGGCTATTCTTAAAAAGTCAACAAATAAAAGATGCTGGTGAGGTTGAAAAGATGACATACAGTGCTAGTGGGAATGTGAATTAGTTCAGCCACTGTGGAAAGCAGTTTGGCAATTTCTCAAATAACTTAAAATAGAACTACCATTGCAACCGTATTATTGGATATATACTCAAAGGAATATAAATTGTTCTACCTTAAAGACACATGCATGTGCATGTTCATGGCAGCACTATTCACAATAGTAAAGACATAGAATCAACCTAGATTCCCATAAGTAGTAGACTGGATGAAGAAAATGTAAATATATGCCATGGAATATCATGCAGCCATGAAAAAGAACTAGGTCATGTCCTTTGTAGAACACCCCAATGGATGGAGCTGGAGGCCATTATCCTAGGCAAACTAATGCAGGAAGAGAAAGCCAAATACTGCATGTTCTCACTTATTAGTGGGAGCTAAACAATGAGTACATATGAAAGCAAAGAAGAAGGCAATAGACAACAGCACCTACTTGAGGGTGGAGGGTAGGAGGAGGGTGAGGATCAAAAAACTAACTATTGGGTATTATGCTTATTTCCTGAGTGGTGAAATAATCTGTACACCAAACCCCTGTGACATGCACTATACCATATAACAAACTTGCACATGTACCCTTGAAGCTGAAATAAAAGTTATAAGAAAATATGAAAGTCAAGATAAGAATGGTTGAGGTCAACGATTATAAATCATGCTGCTATAAAGACACATGCACACGTATGTTTATTGTGGCAATATTCACAATAGAAAGACTTGGAACCAACCCAAATGTCCATCAATGATAGACTGGATTAAGAAAATGTGGCACATATACACCATGGAATACTATGCAGCCATAAAAAAGGATAAGTTCATGTCCTTTCTAGGGACATGGATGAAGCTGGAAACCATCATTCTCAGCAAACTATCGCAAGGACAAAAAACAAGTTCATGTCCTTTGTAGGGACATGGATGAAGCTGGAAACCATCATTCTCAGCAAGCTATCGCAAGGACAAAAAACCAAACACCTTATGTTCTCAGTCATAGGTGGGAATTGAACAATGAGAACACTTGGACACAGGGAGGGGAACATCACACACTGGGGCCTGTCATGAGGTGGGGGGAGTGGGGAGGGATAGCATTAGGAGATATACCTAATGTAAATGACAAGTTAATGGGTGCAGCACAGCATCATGGCACATGTATACATATGTAACAAACCTGCACATTGTGCACATGTACCCTAGAACTTAAAGTGTACAAAAAAAAAAAAAAGAATGGTTGAGGTCTACAGAATTGAGGGTTGAACACATAGATGACGGATTTGATAAGAACCACAGGCTGGGAAATTTGTTTCAAATTAAAAGTAAGCTTATGGACTGTATCAAAATAATAGACTGTAGGGAGTAATCATATGAATACCTACAGAATATTTTAAACAAGTTATATAACAGATGGATAATGTTATTCAGGGAAACCAGAGAGTCTTGGAATTCTCTGCCTCACCAGAAGTCAGGGAGGCCAACCAGCCTTCTCACACATGCATTCACTGGGGCTGTTATGTAAAGCATACCATGTGGAGGAAGGATGGGAATCCTAATTCTCAGAAGCAGTGTTCTGTTCACCCTATTTCACCATATAATTACTCTGCTCAAGTCAATTGGTGCTGGGCTTTCCTTAGTAATGTTTTAAAGAATTTCACAGAGTTAGAACTGGTCGAGACCTTAGCAATGATTAAATCTAATTGTCTAATCCCAGGAAAAGAAACAAACCCAGAGATAAAGATTTATGATTTGTAAAGTGCTTTCACACTCATAGGTTTGCTGCATTCTTATTTCATTGCCATCTTTGCAGGGGAGAAATGAGCTCTGAGAGTACACATTTCAGTAAGTTGCTCACTGCAGGAACACTGTACCAGGTGCTACAACCTGGTATCTTTTGAAAGAGGTTGTATCAGCCTTCCCCCTCTATGATATTAATAAAACTTTTTAAACTTAATTTGTAATAATTAAAACTTCCTGGGAATATAAATACATAAAGGTTAAATAACAACAAAGGAACATGCTGTTCCATTTATGGAGTGTGAAATAAGAGGAAAAATAATAACTGGTCAAAAACAAACACTCCAATGGAAAACGATTGACAAGAAACAATTCTCAAAAGGGGAATACAAATGGACAATAAACATAAGTGACCATATTAACTCTTTCTTACAAATACAAATAAGAATTAAAAAATGAATGAAATAAAAAATTTTACCTATTAGATTTGCAAACATTAAAGATTGACTAAATCCAGCGTGTAGAGAGACTGAGGAGAGAATTGCTTTTTGCTTTCTTCTTTGTAGTTTTCTATATTAATTATTTTCATTACAAAGTGCGTGGATTGTTTATATATTTAAAATAATAAAAATTTATTTTCATTTTGGACATTTAGACAAAAAAACCCCAAACAGGGCTCACTCTAATTGTAGTTTCTCAAAGGCGAATGTTTAAAGCTTCCCAAGGTAAAATTTCTTCATTCAAAATTACTTCTCTTGCTAACATTTAAAAAAATCACCTAATGGGGTACTCTATCCCACCTATATAATTCAACCTCAGATCTCTTTTGTAATTTATTTGCTATTTCATTAGAAGCACATTCAATTAAACCTGAAGTATAATTAACCTCTCTCTCTCTCTGTTCCTTCCCCTTTAGGAAAACAATTCCCATTTCTCTATCCTAACTCTTACACCTCCTGATCATAACCTTCTCTGCTGGAATCTTTCTTCTGACTGATCTGATGCACAGGTTCCTGAAAGATCACAGAAGCAATGTACCTTTCATTACTTTGTCAAAATTATCCAGTGTCCTCTTACTAGGCAATACTAACAAGTCATCCACTTATTGGAATTACTTTCTTCAATCTTCTGTTTCTGTCCCTTCATGTAAAATGCACTATATTGATCTCCATAGGCAGTTTTCACATGTACACATATTTGCCAAAATATTATCACACTGTCTTGGTACATGGTTCAAAATAACTAAATGTAAGAACTCTTCCAGCATCAGATTAAACTCAGTCACAAAACTATTAATTCTATTGTGACCTCTTTCCATTATATATTTGCTTATATATGTAAAATTAAATATTTTTATACAACATGATTTTAAGATACTTTCTACAGGAAAAAATAATAGGACCCAGGTCTTCATATTTTACAATAATATCAAATGTAGTCTATTTAAACCTATGTTTCCCCAAATGTGCATTTCTACTACCTGCATTAGAATCATCTAGGTGATCTGGGCCCCTCACTTCCCCCTGATCTACCAAGACAAAAATCTTTGAGTGTGGAATTGGGGAATCTGCATTTTTAAGCAAACATTTAAAGTGATGTTTCTTGGCTTTTCCGTGGTTTGGAAACTCATGAAAATTGTCTTGTATTGATAAGTGATTAAATGCATCTGAACATCACAGAGTAAAAGAATGATTAAGAAGAAACTAGTGACGAATTCTTGAACCATTTCTTTAAAAAAAATACAGTAGGACTTTGCTTTCTGTTCATTTACAAGTTAACAGTAGATTCATCACTGGTGCCCAGTAATATCTGTGTTTTAGGTTCATCAACAATAAAAGTACAGGTATACTTGGGTGTGCTGGCATGGGCCTGTGGTTTTAACTACTTGGAAGGCTGAGCTTGAGCCCGGGAGTTCAAGTTCAGCCTGGGCAACATGGTGAGACTCTGCCTCAAAAAAAAAAAAAAAAAAAAAAAAGAGATCAAGTATAAGCTGTTGACTATGTCATATGTAAGTGACCAGAAGGATTAGTTTTAATTAAGTAATAACTTTGCTCCTTAGAGACATTCAATTACAATAGAGAAACAATCTGAAGTCTGCTGATGGCTTGAAAACAAAGATAATTAATTACTCTCATAGACTTTCCTTGCTTTTGAGGATGTTGCACTGAAATTGTGTCAATTTCTTTTCTTTTTTTTCTTTTTTCTTTTTATTTATTTATTTACTTATTTTAAGTTCCAGGATACATGTGTAGAACGTGCAGGTTTGTTATATAGGTATACATGTGCCGTGGTGGTTTGCTGCACCTATCAATCCGTCACCTAGGTTTTAAGCCCAGCATGCATTAGCTATTTGTCCTGATGCTCTTCCTCCCATCACCCCCACCCTCCACACTGACATTGTGTCAATTTCTAAGTACGGAGCAGTGAACATAGGCCCTCCTAGGCCTCTTCAGAGGCTCTGAACTATTCTGAAGTTTGATGAACAGCCTCTTGCCACTGGCATCCTTAAAGATAGATTCCACTTAGGTAAACATAACTTTTTTGAATACAATGAGCAGCTGTGTCTTCTTTGAGAATGGTGACTGAGTACTAATTAGTTCTTGCAAAGTGCAAATGACAATGCTATTGGAGATATGCTTCTAGCAGGACAGTCCTAGCAAGAAGGAAAAATGTGTCTTTAGTTTTCCATTGTTCATTTGCCCCTCAGTTAGAGCAATGACAGTGTCCCTGTATCACATAAGAAATGACATAGACTGGGAAAGTATTTTCTCCCTTTACTTCCTTTAAATACTTATTGCATTTCTAGAGCAGATTAGCAAATTATGTCGAGATCCTTTGAATATTAACCTAACTTACTTTTTTAAAGCAATCACACTAGAGTTAAAATGGGTTTTCATTATAATGTCTTTTTCCTGAAAATATTGTCAAATAATTTTTGTTAAATGTTATACAAAATTTCCTAGAAGTATTTTTCAGCATATCAGAAATCTGAGTTTGGCAGGATATAACTATTCATTACCCCATTGGCAGCAACTCTAATCTTCATTTTATTGTCAAAACCACTTGAATTCATTTATTCAAGAATATCAAGTAAGTTGTCTTTCTCTGTGAACTCAACTACTTTGTCTCTTAGGATTCTTAGATAAAAATGACTCTGTTATATGTTGTTCTAGCACTATATATATATATATAATATATAACATGTTATATATAATGTATATATAATATATAACATGTTATATATAATGTATATATAATATATAACATGTTATATATAATGTATATATAATATATAACATGTTATATATAATGTATATATAATATATAACATGTTATATATAATGTATATATAATATATAACATGTTATATATAATGTATATATAATATATAACATGTTATATATAATGTATATATAATATATAACATGTTATATATAATGTATATATAATATATAACATGTTATATATAATGTATATATAATATATAACATGTTATATATAATGTATATATAATATATAACATGTTATATATAATGTATATATAATATATAACATGTTATATATAATGTATATATAATATATAACATATTATATATAATGTATATATAATATATAACATATATAATGTATATATAATATATAACATATATAATGTATATATAATATATAACATATATAATGTATATATAATATATAACATATGATATATGATATATAATATATAACATATGATATATGATATATAATATATAACATATGATATATGATATATAATATATAACATATGATATATGATATATAATATATATAATACATAATATATATAATATATATAATACATAATATATATAATATATATAATATATAATATATATAATATATATAATATATAATATATATAATATATAATATATATAATATATTATGTATAATATATAAAATATAATATATAAGATATATAATATATAAAATATAATATATAATATATATAATATATAAAATATATTATATAATATATATAATATATAAAATATATTATATAATATATATAATATATAATATGTTATATATAAAATATATATTTTAATCCAAAAGAATAGTGAAGAACTTATTATTATTATTTTTGAGGATAGATCTTTGTTCAGTGCCTCAACAAGTTGGTCTAATTTCTACACGCAATATTTTTCTTTCCCAGAAATCTGATTCTACTCAGTTTATATAGTCAGAGAAGAAAATAGAGACAAGAAGTTACATAAAATAAAGATCTATGTATGAAGGGGGGAAAAAGGTACATTACTGCACCAGGCACCAGGATATCAAAGCAGGGGAGATAAAGACAGAAGGGATGAACAGATAAAACACCATTGTTGTTTTTAGGTTGGGGTAGTTAGAATAGAAATTCCAAAGGGGGAAAGGCCAATACAATAAGGGCACTGAAACTGAGGTGGATGCAGAAACATAAATCAAAGAGAACAAAATAGAAAAATAAAAGTATAATGAAATGGTAACAATGAAAATGGTAAACTGTGCTTAGGTGACTATGTGGTAGTCCTAATCAACTGGCTTTCAAAACAGTCTCTAGTCTCATAATTGATGCACTTCTAGAAACATGATATTAGAAACTCCTAAAGTAATGAATTGATGATAGTCACACATCTGCTCCAACCAAGCAATCTTTGGTGAGGTACATTTCTTAAGACATCTAAGTGAAGGAAGAGTTACTTGCTCCCCCATGTTTAACCTCCTGTGTGTAAGGGATATGAAGCGTTTAACAGCACAATAATTTAATTTTCCCTAGTTAACTACTGTTGACTCAGAGATCTAGAGTAATTGTTTGAGCATGTATATGCCATCAAGATTTCATTTCCCAGTGAGGAAAACAGTAGTAGAGTAGCAGAGTTTCTTGCGGGAGTTGAGTCGTTGTAAGAATTGTAGCATGATTACCTGAAGAGCATAGCTTGTGGTACACAGAATAATATCTCCTTTACCTCCCCCGCCAAGAAATCCATGTCCTAATCCCTGGAACCTGTGAATGTGAACATTACATGGCAAAAGAGATTTTGCAGATGTGATTAAGTTAAGGACTTTGATATGGGGAGATTATTCTGGATTATCCAGGTGGGCCATACGGATCCTTAAAAGCAGAGAACCTTTTCCAGTTTGAGAGAGATGTGGCCATGAAATAAGGCACAGAGAGTATTTCTGGCTTTAATGATGAAGGAAGGGAATATGAGCCAAGGAATGTGTGCGGAATCTAGAAGATGGAAAAAGCAAGGTGATGGGTTCTCCCCTAGAGCCTCCAGAAAGGAACACAGCCCTGTGGACATCTTGAACTTAGCTCAGTAAGACCCATGTTGGATGTCTGACCTTCAGAAATGCAAAATGACAGATTTGGGTTGTTTTAAGACACTAAGTTGGTGGTAATTTGCTTTGGCATTAATAGAAAACCATACATAGCTGTTTTAGTAATTGGTGTAACTAATAACTATTAATAATCCTGTATAATCATTATAACTATTAATATTAAAATGAGAAAGCATATAATCTTTTAAGGTAAAATTCTAATATGTATTTTATAGGTAAATTTTAATTTTAATTTTAAAAATTTCAGTTTATCTAGAAGTTTAATAAGTTGGCTATATTTCTTTGGTTATAAACAGTTTATAAATGATGTCAAGTAGATCTCATCATTTATTTTATATTAACATCATGATTTTAAGATCCATTTTGTACTTCAGTCTCCAGTTTCATTATTCATGGAAGCCTATAAAAGTTAAGAATAAAAAAGTGCTTTAGCTACTAATTCATGTTTCCCAGAGACTAAGTGACAATATGTCAGAATTTCCTTGACTTTTTCTATTTTGTTTGTGTGCTTTAAAAAAATGTTAGGAATGCCTTCATAAAGCACTTTACAACATCACACAGACTTTAAAATCTGAGTACATACAGATAGAAAAAGTGAGATTATCAGAATTATGGGCAATTTTGGTTCTTTAATTGATTGAGCGCCAGAAGGGCCTGTCACTATGCTGTCACTATGCCACTCTAATTCATCCAAAATTTATTTCAGCCCAAGACATTTCAAGAAGTGACTAATACTAATTTTTGTTCCAGACTTATCGGTAAATCTAGGGCAAAGCTTTAGATACAACCCATCAAACTATAACAGAATCTGATAGGATGTAATTTACCATAAGGTGGAGCTTGGTAGGAAGAAATTTTTATGGACACCACCTAACACCAGTTGTGTTAAGCTCATAACTGTGAAGCACATGAGGTGGAAAAGCTCAGATTTTGGAGCCAGGTAGATCTGCATTTTGTATTCTAGGAATGCCACTTACTAGTTGTAAGATCTTGGGCAAGTTAGTCATAATCTATCAGCCTCAGTTTCTTTATGTAAAATGATGCTGCTTATAATCTTTGTTTTATAGGATTTCTACGATAATTAAATGATGAAGCAAAGCACTTAAAACAACGTACATACTCAGTAAGTGTTACCTATTTTGGGAGTAACTTACTGCAGTCTGTACAGGTTTAAATCACCAGCATAGAGATACAAAAAAGATTTTTTACATGCTGATTTATTTTCTAGAAACATGGAATGTTAGAAGAAATAAATTCTCTTAACCAAGAGAAGGACATAATCCAGTAACTGGCAAATCGTACAATTTTCTCCAAGGTTTTTGATTTCCTTTATCAAAAATGTGTTTCATTATTCATCAGCATATCCTTTGAAATCTTATGACATTATTTTAACAAAGTAAATGTGCATAATTTTCTTAATATCTCTAGAACCTAAATCTCTGTTCTGAATTTGCCTCTTGTATTCTTCTGCTACTACAGTGTGTAGAACTCATCATTGTCTGGTTGAGCTTTGGTACCATTTATGACAGCCCTCCTGTATCATGCGTGGGTTGGATTCATTGCATCAGACCTTTTTTTTTTTTTTTTTAAACGGAGTTTCACTCTTGTTGCCGGGGCTGGAGTGCAATGGTGAGATCTCGGCTCACTGCAACCTCCACCTCCCGGGTTCAAGCTATTTTCCTGCCTCAGCCTCCGGAGTAGCTGGGACTACAGGAGTGTGCCACCACTCCTGGCTAATTTTGTATTTTTAGTAGAGATGGGGTTTCTCCATGTTGGTCAAGCTGGTCTTGAACTCCTGACCTCAGGTCATCTGACCACCTCGGCCTCCCAAAGTGCTGGGATTACAGGCATGAGCCACTGTGCCCAGACTGTATCAGACCTTTAAAAAATGTAATCAGTCACCAAGTATCCTGTTTACATATTCATGTGTTCAGTAACAGCATTTTGCTTTCTTTAAATAATTTATAACTCATTCTTTTAGAACGTCATTGCATAACAAATCACTCCTTAATAGTAGAGAAACATTCCATTTCACAATGTAACAACAAATTTAATACAATATATTAAAAGTAAATAGATTATGAATATGAAATGTTTTTTCCCTTTGCTAATCTATTTTATGATTTCGCCATGTTAAATTATAAAATTATTTCCTTAAAATAACTGTACAGTTGTATAGTTGCTAGCACACTATGGCTATTTGAATGTGATAATAATATTGACAGTAATTTATTTTCCTGTGTATTTTTAATATGATCACGTTATATCAAATGTAGAAATAAGTAAGTATTCCACCAAACAAAGAGAGAGAGTGAGGGAGAGGGAGGGAGAGAAGAATGGTCTCAAATTGCCTAATATTGTGACAATCATAAAACTATTAGGGACCAGTGGAACTGGACATTCTATTACCAAAAATGTTTAGGTGACTTCCAGGGAGGACCAATCTTCCCAGTGTGAGCAGCAATGGATATATATGAGGGAACTTAATTAGGCATTGTGAAGTCAACCAAACTATCTTTTAAGGATGAGGGAAAATAAAGACATTTACAATGCATAAAATCTGAGAAGGTTTACCATGAATAGATTCTCATTGAAGGAAGTCTTTAAAATAAAGTTTGGACTAAAGCCACCTCCTTACATAATTTCAGTTCAGCCTAAAGGTTTTTCTGTACATTGTGAGCTATAACAAGTGGAGGTGTAAACAGACCGTAGTCTACACTTGTGCCAATCACTGTGTTTTGGCCAGTCAGTTGTGTTCAAATTATATTCAAATAAGGCAAACACTAACCTGTAACCAATCCAGCTGTTTCTGTCCTCACTTCTGTTTTCTGTATGTCACTTTCCTTTTTCTGTTCATAAATCTTCTTCCACCATGTGGCTGCGCTGGAGTCTCTGAACCTACTCTGGCTCGGGAGGCTGCCTGATTCATGAATTGTTCATTGCTCAATTAAACTCCTTTAAATTTAATTCAGCTGATGTTTTTCTTTTATCATGTCTAAAGGATATACTTCAGAAAGAATGCAATTCATTCATCCAACAAATATATACTGAGCCAGGCACATTTCTCTGTGCTGGAGATACATCCGTGAACAAAATAGATGAAAAAAATCTTGCCCTAATAAAGCTTACATTTTAATAGTCCAAATAACAAAGTAGTGGCAAAAACCACAATTATTTTTGCACCAACCTAATAAATTAGTAAAATACATGGTATGTCTGGTAGCATGCTGTGAAGCCTTTAACAACTGGGTCTGTGTGAATAAAAAGCCCAGATTTGTCACATTTGTCTATTTTACAGTGTAAATATTCCTTCCATAAAGCTAGAAGGAGATGCACAAAATTGACCTTGTAAGCCAATGTGAGCCAGTTTTAGCACATCATTGGTGATCATAAGTGCCAGAACAAAACACTCTCAGGGAAAGATGGGAGATTTAGAGGTTGCAACTTTAAAGAGAATGGTCAGAGAAGACTTCACTGAGAAAGTAACATTTGAGTAAAGATCTAAAGGAAGCAAAGAAGAGAGCCATGCACCAATCTGGGGGAAGGACACTTTAGGGAGAAAGAACAGCAAGTGCAAAATTCTGAAACAGGAGCAAGGAACAGCAAAGATACTAGAGAGGCTGCAGTAGCGTGAGGGAAAAGGAGCTGGGCGTGTAGCAGAGATAAAGACACTGGAAGTTGCTGGAGGGTTTTGAGCAGAGGGGGGTCATGATCAAAATTACGTGTCAATGGCATGACTGTCTGCTCTTTACAGAAAGGGGTAAGGTGTAGAAGCTGAGAATCACATCGGATGAGAAAAGGTGAACAGTTGGCAAAGGAAACAGTAGAAATCTGGCAAATCTAATAAAACTTTGATGGTAGTAAAAACAACAGTGCCTAATATCCGGTGTTAAACAGCAACATTAACATCTAGAACCAGAATAACCCAACCGCCAAAGGAGAGAGAGCATTATTGGAGATAAAGAACTTTGTACCTTTTGACTGAGGTATGAAGATATTGGCACTTGTTTAGTGCATGTGTTTAAATTTTTGGAGAAACTACTAAAAAAAAAGAGATAAAATACATTCATTTAAACCAGGAATGGATAGAAAAAAGAAAGAAACTGACAATTCAAATGAAGGTAAAAAGGAAGAGAGAGAAAGAAGAGAAGAAATATAACAAGTGGGGCAAATATAAAGCACAAAATAAAGTAGCTGAAATAAATCCATATACATTGATAATCCAATTAACTATATGTAGATTGATCTTGTTAATTAAAAGACAAATATTGACAGAGTAGACCAAAAGCAAAGTTCACCTAGGAGCTGTTTTCAAAGCTAATTTACAGTGCAAAGACAGGAGAGAGATTAAAAATATATAAAAAAGGAGTAAGATATATTTCTCAAATAGTAATCAAAAGAAAGCTGGTATAGCTGTATTAGCATTAAGCAAAACAAAGGCAAAACAACATTAATAAAGTTAAAAAGATAACATAGAATGAAAAAACATATTAAAATACAATTTCAAAATATGTGCACTTAACATAGCTTCAAAATATAGAAGGCAATAATTTTCAGAACAAGGAAATATTTACAATCAACCATCAGAGTTGGAAAATTAAACATAACTCTTTTGGTAGCATCAGGGATACCATTCCATTCCCTCACCCCCCAAAAAAGAATACAGTAAGAAGACAGATTTGAAAAATGTAGTTAACAAGGTTGTGTTGGTATACCTTGATTAGATAATATATGTTCCTATCAAGTACATGAGGCATACTGTATCCAGTTATAAAGTAAATCTAGCAAATTTGAAGTAATGGGATCAAGCAGATACATGCTTCTATAGCATAATAAAATTAAATGAATATCAGTAAATAAGAGATAAGAAACATCAGATATAATGGAAAGGAACTCAAGAAATATGAGTTTAGGAGAAAAATGACAAAACATTAATACTATGTACAATGTACAGATCTTGACATTCATACAGAGCACATGAATAGTGAACTGTCTGGAGAAATTTTTGCTACCCTTTTATGTGTACTTATGACAGAATAATTGATTGCAGTTGTGTTTTCCTCCTCCTCCCAATATTTGGTATGTTGTTATTTTTTAGTGATTTTATGAAGCCTCTGGCTTCCCTTAGCTGGGGTGGTGAATATTCGTGGTGAAGTCAAGCAGCACAGAGCGCACCTTTACATTCCAATTAGAGCTTCCCACAGTCAGCCCCAAGCAAGACTGAAAAGTCAGCTGAGTTTATCTTCTGAGCTTGATACCTCTTATTTTTCACAGTTTTCTAGCTTCCCACTTCTATTTTCAGCACTTTCTTTTCTCTAGGTACTCTGGGATCTTCCATTAGAGAGGAAAATAATGATATAGCCACTCATGACATTGTATTAAAAATTTAAGAACTTCCCTTTCTTCTGGGGCCACTTTAAAAATGTAGATTTTTTAAGGGCTAATCCACAAATAGACAAGTTATGGTATATTGAAATGTAAGAAAATAGTGAGAAAGGTCTGGGGTAGTTAAAAAAGGAAAGTGGCTGTTGAGTACCTCCAGAAAGAAGTACAAGATGCTCCAGGAGGAGCCACAGTTACCTCTTCAGTAAGCTCAGATGTGACTGGGCGGGTTCTTCATTTTCCGAAGAATGTTAGGAATTTTCTCAAAGTTTGAAAGGAATGTGTACCTATTACAGAAATCAAAGAGAGAGAGGAAGGGAGAGATGCAGGAGGGAGTGATATGTAACCTCTTTTATGCATTGAGAGTATTCAACTGCAAGGAGTTCAGTAAAACCCTGAAAGACCACCTTCTCCAGAATCTTCTCATTTGACTTCTCAGATGTCTTGGGAGATAAATGTTATATGAAATGGTAGGTCTAAAGGTATAATGGATCTTACAACAAGAGTGAGTTAATGCGCCTAAAAGATCACATGGGTTATTAGTGTTCACTGGGTCATGAAGTGCTTTCATGTAAAACAAATGCTTTAATGGTAGAAGCTTTTTTTAATTGTAGAAACATCACTTTCTCTCTCCCAAAACCCTTAGTCGGGAAGTTTGAGGGTAGGTTGTAGATCACAAGGAACTTGAAATTTTGAACGTCACTAAAACTCATCCAATAGTCCAATGGAACACGTTTGCATGCATGCGTGCGCGCGCGCGCACACACACACACACACACACACACACACACACACACACACTTTTCCTGACTTCAATTTCACTGAAATTTGTCCTGCCTTTTTAAAGGAATATTTGAATTATCTAAACAATTTTCTTCTTTGGTTCTTTACAGGCTATGGCTTGTAGCTTGCATATTCCTAGACAAACAAAGACCTCAACTTAGGTCTGTTTTTTTTTTTTTTTTGTCTTTTTGTGGCACAAAGAATGAAACACTTTGTGCCATGTCACAGTTTCTTCTGTGGCTTTGAGGATCTTTAAAATATACTCATATTATTCAACATCTAGGTGGGTAAAGCTGATATTGCATTGCTATTCAAATCTTCCCATTAAATAAGGAAGCACATTTTCTATTCCACATAAGAAAAAAAATAACATCCATGCAGTGATTAGTTTGCTAGTTAAAATTTATGTCTTGCACTCTCCTTCCAATTTTGTACATAACAGTTTATGTAACTTTTGATTTTCTCACATTCTTTTAAATTTTCCCAATACTTCAAATAGGGAAAATATAATATTTGCTCATAAGTGGTAATAATTAAATAAAATAATTGATTTAAACATTTATACTAATTATATACTCTTAATCACAAAATTTATGATTTTTTTAGACCTCATGATTTTTGATTATTCTTCCTTATCTGATTTAGTTAGGTCACCCTATCTAACTCTTGGACTCTACGTTTTAGCAACAAATACTCTCAGTCCTGGACAAACCAGGACGGTTGGTCTTCCTAGAACCAGTCTACCCTCTAGCTACTGTATAATTTCTCTTTTTTCCTTTATACAAAAATGTCTCCACTGAGTGCTCTACACTCTCTTTCTTCACATCTTGACCCCCTTAGTCAACTCCTGACTCCAACTTACTGCAAATGGGCTTCGGTCTCTATCATTCCATTCACATAGATTATGCAAGAGTCCCCAGTGATCTTTGTCTTTTCCCAAAGGAGACTCTCCAGTCCTTAGCCCAGTGGGCCCTGCTGTTGGGTTTTATACTGCTGATCACACTTTTTCTGAAGCTATAGCATCTCAGCTTCCTGGTCTCTGACTGTTCTTTCAAACTCTTATTCAAGGGATATTTCCCTCTACTTGTCTTCTAAATGATGATTTTCCTCAATATTCTACATTTGATCATCTTCTCTTATCACTCTAAATTTTTTCCCTGGCTGAGCTCACACACTTTCATGTGGTGAATGATTCCCTATAGGATGATGAATTTGAAATCTGTATTTCCTACCCAGACTTTTCCTGTGAGGCAACTACCTGTGAAATGCTCTGCATCCCACATGGACTTTAATAAAACTGAAATTTTTATTATGACCTTTAATGATCTTCACTATGATCCTCTTACTTACTGTTGTTCACATCATCAACAATTATCAACCTATGCCAAAAATCCTAAAGTCATCCTTATATTCTCTTTCATGACAAATTCTAATGTCATGATTATATTCTCTTTCATCTCCATTCAGCCAATTACTAAGTTGTTCAATTTTACTTCCTAAATAGATCTTAATTTGGTCCTTCCTTCTCCATTCTTACTCCAATTTCCTGGTTTCAAGAAATTGCTGTCTTTGTCTGAATTACTGCTACATCTTTCCAAATCATCACATCAATCTAGTCTTGCCTTTGAACTCTGTCCTACATGCTTAAGTACATACTTAAGTACATACTTAAGTTACAGGTACACAGCACACACTGTAGTGTTTCCCACAACATAATTTATATGAAACTGTGTCGATATGTTTGCTATTGTGCTTACCATGTTGCAAGCTATTTACCTATTTATCACCCCCACTTTATCATTGTATCCCTAAAGCCTGCCTCTATGTCTGGAATGGGATATAGCCATATCAAGAACTGAACGGATAGATGCTCAGCACAATGTGCTTTCCTATGACTCTACTCTCCCCTGCCCCTCTTCTCTGGAATGGACTACAGTTCAAGATTCTATCTGTAAGTTCCAAAAAGTGCTTCACATGTAGTACACGCTTAATAACTAGTTACAGAATGAATACATGAATGACTGTTTATACTCTCAGGGCAATTGACTGTAGTAAATTAGTGTTTTGAGACACAATCACAGATGCAATTTAGAAGTAATTAAAAAACCCAGATTATTCAAAACACATTTTTTAAAAAAGCATTTAGTTAGTTTAGAAAATATATTTCTATCTAAATATGAGCAGTTCATAAAGTAGACATGCCAAATTTTTCTTTAATGTGTTCAATAAGCCTCTAATTTTTCATACCCCTGAAAACTGGCTTAACTTCTGGAGCACAAATGGCATTTTGTATTTTGTATAATATTAGGGGAAACAGGGGGCTACATACAAAACTCAGGGATTTATTTACCATATTTTAAAATTCTATAACAATATATATTTGACAGTTTCAAACAATTTCACTTCAGAAATATATTCATATTGAAAACATTTCTCACCAAAATCATTTGAAATGGAAAAAAAATGGAAGAATTATATATTGCTTGTAATCTTCAAACACCTAATAAATGCTTAAACTACCAGCTTGGTTTTAATTTAGCTATATTTTCAAAAGTAAGTACAAAGACTTAATGGAAACTTAAATACAGCTTCTTTATTAATTTCTGTTTAGCTAAAAGGAAGAGACTAAAATAGTGCCAAGAATATGGAAGTTTTTTTTCTTTTCAGTCTTCACACTCTCTTACAGTAACATTTAATGGTCCTTCTGGTATTCTTAGCCCACTTAACTAGTGTGATGAACATTACTATTATTTGCCAGATGCTTAGTGACTAGAGAAAAGAACAAAGTTTTCAAGATGTATTTTTTGCTCTCTGATTTGATTCTAGATATTCTACCAAAAGGTCAAAACTGTAGAATAAAAACTATGTATCAAAAGTCTCACTTTTATGAGAAATCAATACATAGTATAACAGAGATAGAATCCTATGACATTTCGAATTGGAAACTAAGACAAATGTAGATAACTTTAATTTTAAAATTTTTTAATAGTAAACAATCAGCTGTTTATGTAACACAATCAACTCATAATAATGACAAACTATTTCAAATAATTGTTTTCTGTTTAAGGGCAGCAGTTTTACACAATAAGAAATGTAATACAATTTAAATTTGGCATGATTGGCTTCATATATGTGTCAGAAGTGTTCGCTGAAATCAAGTTAAATCCTCATGTTTAAATGTGAATAAATATGCTTATACAGTCATTGATCTTCATATTTAGTAGTACTGATTTTCAGTTTCAGAAAAATATGATAAGAGAAAATGCACTGCATATTTGACTTCCAAAAGTATCTGAACTTGCTACAATGAGATCTGTAATTCTTGAAATTTGTGGAAATATTTATTATCATTAAGACAAATTCACTTTAATTTCATATTTAAATGAGCTAAGTCTGAGATTAGTAATAGCTTTTTTTTGAGGTAGATAGTTTCTGGAAAGTAATTAAACGAAATGACTTCTACTCTAGTTGTAAATACATGTAGAAAACCATTTCAGGATCCTGCCACACTCAATCTTTTAGTAAAATCTTTATTTTTCTTGATTCAGATAGAAATACATAATCTTCTTAGTTGATTTAGGGTGAGCGATAATCCTAGATTGCCCAGACTTTCCCAGTAAATCCCATGTCCTGGGTAACCCAGTTGTAGTACAAACTGGGATAGTTGTATCCCTGCTGGAAGATGAACTGAACTTTGAAACTTGAGAAAATAGAGCCTTACCTTTACATCATTGGTGTTCATTCTTGTTCCCTCTTTTCCCACAAATATATCATCAATATCCACAAGAATGTACCTGTCCAAGGACAATGTCAGCCTCTTCCCTGATAAGAAGGAGATGGCATCTATGAAGATGAGCTTGTGCAGCCAAAAGTTCAAGTTGTTGCCAAAAAGAACCCTTTGAATTCCATCATGAAGCCCCAGGTCATGTATAATAGTGGCATAAAAAGCACCTTTAGAGATGGAAGGAGAAAGGTTTTCTGGGGTCTTTACTTTGGCAAATATTACTGGTTGATAGGCTGAATGATTAATCTGAAAAACTGTCCAGTCAGTTCCAGGTAAAGAACCTTTTTCAAGCTTGGAAGATTTGGTCACACGAATCAATGGAGAATGAGGATTAATACAACAATCTTTTACTGCAAGATTTCCATATATGGAAAAAGGGAAACCTTTTAACTGAAAGCTCTGTACACTCTTCTCACTAGTTTTGTGGAATCCAATGACACCCACACCATATTCTACACAGTATTTATCTAGAAGGCTTCGATTCCAGGAATCCATATTTATATACTTTAAAATATTCTCATAAATAATGAGAATGTATTTGCCTTTCATTTTGTCTATAAGCACTGGGAGATCTCCCTTTCCAGGGGCAATTTCAATGTGATACTGGAATCTACTTGATTCTAGAATCATAATGATGTCTTGACCAAGAGATGAGTACTGGCTCTCTACAAATACTAGGACTGTGGGGTCTGTCCTTGAGGCATCAAAAAGCTTCATTGCTTTCACTTCCATTAGTTGATATGGTAGGTGTTGGAGGTCGCCACAGTCAACTTCTGAAGCCGTCTCAGAGAGTTCATTTTCCTGTTTGTAGCCACTGTACAGGTAGTAAGCAGAAATGATAATGCTCACCATACAAAAAGTGGCAAGCAGAATGACTGTTCTTTGAAAGTGTCTGTGAAGCTTCATGATAAAACTCATGTTGTAGGTGCTTTCCCCAACTATGCCAACAGAAGCACCATAAAAAGTTAAAAGAAAAGATGGTGTTCCAGCTACTTTTCCAATCTCTGTCAAGAGTTTATGTCACCATTGCAGCTCATTTGTATCACTTGATCAGGACTCACAGAAAATACAGTCTGAAAAATAGAAAAGAATATAAAACAGTCAGTTTGCAGCATTAAAATAAGCAAGTTTTTATCTTGTTGACTAGCATAAGTGGCAGAGTACTTGGCAGATGAACTGGTGTATAGTAAATTCGAAGCCCTCCCTTTTCTTCTCCCAGATCTGTGTGAGGACATGGGACTGGTAGAAAGAGGAAAAGGGGTCCATTGAGCCCTCTATTCCTAGTAAAAAAAAGACTTTGGGCTAACAGAAAATTTCATGATATTCACTGTGCTTTGCATCAAACTCTGTAGATACTATACAACAAAGACCACGGAGAGGTCACCTAAGTCATACACTGCCATTTCTTGCCATCTGGCTATACATTATGTAATACATACTCAAGCTGTTTGTTTTTAATCACAGGTACTGAATGTTTATGCCATAATTAAAACATGTGTTTTTCTTTTCTGCAAAGTCGATGGCACAGTCAATTTTATCATTGTATACACATTTTACATTCATTAGAGAAACAACCTTATGATAATTGCTCTCATTAAAATAACCCTTTCAAAATGCATATATGGTCCCACAATGCAATTCATTATTTTAGAACTGCATATTTTCATAGTTGCATTTTCCAAAAATCAAAACAGTCATGTGGTAAGATGAATATGAGGAATAAAATACTTCCCAGGGTTTCTGCAAATCTGGTGTGAGACCATTGGGAACCATATACTCTTGGAGAAGAGCAAATTTACCTATTGATTCACTTTCTATACCATTCTATTTCCGCTTTTTGAGGAGTTTAGTAATTATGTGAAAAACTACTCCAAAAATGTTTTTAAAAATGTAATGAAAACAACTGAGACTTCATGAAACACTTTGTTGTGCAATAATTTGAAATCCCTTTCAAGTCTTAGTAACCTTTGAAAATTTAGTAACTTTGAAAAATAATAAGAAAGAAACATGAGTGCTTCTTTTTTTATTTGGGTGTTCTACATTTATTAGGATTACACTTCCTCTGGTATCACAGCACACTGATACAGATTTACTGTTAAGAGTATTTTGAGTGCATGAAGGTTAAGCAAACTGTGTATATATCTCTGTCAACTGAACAATATTTTTTCTCAGATAGTTGAACTAATGGGAAACAAACACATATTTCCTGGCTAGTCAAATCCAAAATAATGTACAGCCATGCTTGGATTTACCTGGGCACCTAAGGAATTCTTTTCCTTTTAAAAAAATTCAACCGTTATTTTAGAGGGTACACATGCAGGTTTACTACCTGGGGATACTGTGGGATGCTGACATTTACGGTATGGATCCCGTCACCCAGGCAGTAAGCACAGTACCCAATAGGTAGTTTTTCCACCGTGTATGTCCTCCTTCCTTCTTCCTCCCTCTAATAGTCCACAGTGTCTATTGTTCTTGTGTATATGTCCATGTGTGCTCAGGGTTTAGCTCCCACTTGTAAGTGAGAACATGTGGTATTTTGTTGTCTGTTCCTGAGTTAATTTGTTTAGGATTATGTCCTCCAGTTACATCCATGTTACTACAAAAGACATGACTTCATTCTTTTTTATGGCCACATAGTATTCCATGGTGTATTTGTACCACATTTTCTTTATCCAATTCACTCTTGATTGGCATCTAGTTTGATTGTTTATCTTACTATTTTGAATAGTGCTGGGATAAACATACAAGTGTATGCATCTTTTTAGTAGAATGATTTATTTTCCTTTGGGTATATACCCAGTAATGGAATCTGTGGTCAAGTGATAGCTCTGTTTTAAGTTCTTTCAGAAATCTCCAAACTTCTTTCCATAGCGGCTGAATTTGTTTACATTCCCACCAACAGTGTATAAGCATTCCCTTTTCTATGCAGCCTCACCAGCATCTGTTATCTTTTAACTTCTTACTAATTGCCATTCTGACTGGTGTAGATGATATCTCACTGTGGTGTTGATTTGCATTTCTCTGATGATTAGTGATGATGAACATTTTTTCATGTTTGTTGGCTACTTGTATGTCTTCTTTTAATAAAGAGACTATTTTGGCAGGATATTTAGCATTTTCTAGGTATAGAATCATATCATCAGCAAAGAGAGATAATTTGACTTCTTTTTCTATTTAGATGCCTTATTTCTTTCTCTTGCCTGATTGCTTCTTTGAAGAAACATCTGCTCATGTCCTTTGCCTGTTTTTAAAGGGGGTTGGTTGTTTCTTTCTTATTGATTTAAGTTTCTTGTAGACTCTGGATATTAGACCTTTGTTGGATGCACACTTTGTGAATATTTTCTCCCATTCTGTAGGTTGTCTGTTTACTCTGCTGATAGTTTCTTCTGCTGTTCAGAAGCTCTTTAGTTTAATTAGGTCCCACTAGTCAACTTTTGTTTTCATTGCAATTGCTTTTGGGGACTTAGCCAAAAATTCTTTGCCAAGGCTGATATCATAAACAGTATTTCTTAGATTTACTTCTAAAATTTTTATAGTTTGATGTCCTGCATTTGAATTAACTTGCTTACTTAATTTGCTTAGGATTACAGCCTAGGCAAATTACCTTGAGTTAATTTTTGTATATGGTAAAAGGTAAGGGTCCAGTTTCATTCTTCTGCATATGGCTAGCCATTTATCCCAGCACCATTTACTGAATAGGGAGTGCTTTACCTATTGCTTGCTTTTGTTGGCCTTGCCAAAGATCAGATGATTGTAGGTGTGTGGCTTTATTTCTGAGTTTTCTATTGTGTTCCATTGGTCTATGTGTCTGCTTTTGTACCAGTACCATGCTGTTTGGGTTACTGTAGCTTTGTAGTATAGTTTGAAGTCAGGTAGTCTGATGCTTCTGGCTTTGTTCTTTTTGCTTAGAATTGCTTTGGCTATTCGGGCTCTTTTTTGGTTCATGTGAATTTTAGAACAGTTTTTTTATATTTATTTAAAAATAGCATTTGTAATATGATAGTAGTGTTGAATCTGTAAATTGCTTTAAGCAGTATGGCCATTTTAATGATACTGATTCTTCTAATCCATGAGCATGAAAAGTATTTTCATTTATTTGTATTGTCTTTGATTTATTTCATCAGTGTTTTTTAGTTCTCCTTGTACAGATCTTTTACCTCCTTGGCTAGCTGTATTGTTAGATATTTCATTTTATTTGTGGCTATTGTACATGGGATTGTATTCTTCATTGGACTCTCAGCTTTAACATTATTGATATATGTATAGGAACACTACTGATTTTTGTATATTGATTTTGTATCCTGAAACTTTCCTGAAGTCATTTATCAGTTCTAGGGACCTTTTGGCAGAATCTTTAGCATTTTCTAGGTATAGAATCATATCATCAGCAAAGAGAGATAGTTTGACTTCTTTTTCTATTTGGATGCTTTATTTCTTTCTCTTGTCTGATTGCTCTGGCTAGGACTTCCAGTGCTATAGGAGTGGTGAGGGTGGGCATCCTTATCTCATTCCAGTTCTCAAGAGTAGTGGTTCCAGCTTTTGCCTGTTCAGTATGACATTGGCTGTGAGTTTGTCATAGATGTCTCTTATTATTTTAAGATATGTTCCTTTAATGCCTAGACTGTTAAGGGTTTTTATCATGAAGGTATGTTGAATTTTATTGAAAGCTTTTCTGCATCTATTGAGATGATCATATGGCTTTGCTTTTAATTCTGTTTATGTGGTAAATGACATTTATTGATTTGCATATGTTGAAATAGCCTTGCGTCCTAGAAATAAAGCTGACTTGATTGTGGCATATTAAATTTTTGATGTGCTGCTGGATTTGTTTTCCTAGTATTTGGTTGAGAATTTCTGCATCTATGTTCATCGGAGATATTGGCCTAAGTTTTTTTTCTTCATTGTGTCTCTGCCAGATTTTGGTATCAGGCTGATGCTTGCTTCACAGAATGTGTGAGGAAGAAGCCCCTTCTCCTCAATTTTTTGGAATAATTTCAGTAGGATTGGTACCAGTTCATTTTAGTATGTCTGGTACAATTCGGCTGTGAATCCATCTGCTCCAGTGCTTTTTTTGGTGGGTAGGGTTTTTTTTTTTTATTATTATTACTGATTCAGTTTCAGAGCTTGATATTGGTCTTTTCAGAGTTTCAAACTCTTAATGATTCAGTTTTGGGAGATTGCATTTCCAGGAATTTATCCATTTCCTCTAGATTTTCTAATTCATGTGAGTAGAGATATTCATAGTATTTTTAAGGATATTTCTATTTCTGTGGGATTAGTTGTAATGTTATCTTTGTCATTTTTGATTGTTCTTTTTTGGATATTCTCTTTATTTTTCTTTGTTATTCTAGCTAGTGGTCTATCGGTCGTGTTTATTTTTTTCTAAGAAACAACTCTTGGTTTCATTGGTCTTTTATATGGATTTTGGCATCTCAATTTCATTTAATTCTTCTTTAATATTAGTTATTTATTTTTTTCTGCCAGCTGTGGGGGTATGTTTGTTCCTTTATTTTAGTTCCCTTAGGTACAAAGGTAGATTGTTAATTTGAGATCTTTCTAACTTCTTGATGAAGGCATTTAATGCTATAATCTTTCTTCTTTACACTAACTTAGCTGCATCCCAGAGATTTTGGTAAGTTGTGTCCCTGCCTTCATTAATTTCAAAGAATTTTTTGGTTTCTGCCTTAACTTTGATGTTCACCAAGGAGTTATTCAGGAGCAAGTTATTTAATTTCCATATAATTGTGTAGTTTTGAGAGACCTTCTTGATATTGATTTTTTAAATTGCACTGAGGTTGGTGAATGTTCTTGGTATGATTTCAGTTTGTTAAAATTTATTGAGACTTCCTTCGTGAACAAACATGTGGTCAGTCTTAGAATATGTTTTATGTGCAGATGAAAAATATGTGTATTTTGTGGTTGTTGGGTGGACTAGTTCTGTAGATATCTATTAGATCTAGTTGGTCAGGTGTCAAGTTTAAGTCCGGAGTTTATTAGTTTTCTGCCTTGAGTATCTGTCTAACATTGTGAGTGGGGTGTTGACATCTCCCATTATTATTGTATAGTTGTCTAAGTTTTGTTGTGGGTGAAGAAGAATTTGTTTCATGAATCTAGGTGCTCCAATGTTGGGTGTATATATATTTAGGATAGTTAAGTCTTGTTGTCGGATTGTACTCTTTATTGTTATGTATTGCCCTTCTTTGTCTTCTTAAATTTTTATTGGTTTGAAGTTTGTTTTATCTAATATAAGAATAGCCACTCCTGATCTTTGTATATTTTCCATTTGTATGGTAGATCTTTCTCCATCCTTTTACTTTGCGCCTGTGGGTACCATTACATGTGAAATTGGTCTCATGAAGACAGCAAATGGTTGGGTCTTGTCTTTTTATCTAGCTTGCCACTCTGTGTCTTTTAAGTGGGGCATTTAGCTCATTTACATTCAGGATTAGTATGGATCTGTGAGATTTTGGTCCTGTCATCATGTTGTTAGCTGGTTGTTATGAAGACTTGATTGTCTAGGTGGATTATAGTGCCTGCAGGCTGTGTGCTTAAGTGTGTTTTTGGGGTAGCAGGTGTTGCTTTTCAATTCCATGTTCAGCACTCCCTAAGAACCTCTTCTAAGGCCAGTCTAGTTGAAATGAATTCATTCAGCATTTGCTTATCTGAGAAGGATTTTATATCTGTTTCTCCCAAGAAGCTTAGTTTGGTGCCATATGAAGTTCTTGGTTGGAAATTTTGTTTTTAAAAATGCTAAAAATAGGCTCTCAATCTCTTCTGGTTGTAATGTTTCTGCTGAAAGGTGTGCTGCTAGCTTAATGGGATTCCCTCTGTACATGACTTGACCCTTCTTCTCTCTAGCTGCCTTTAAGATTTTTTCTTTTGCATTGACCTTGGTGAATCTGATGACTGTGTGCCTTAAGGATGGTTATCTCATATAGTATGCAGCCTAGGTTCTCTGTATTTCTTGAATTTGCAACTCAACCTCTCTAGTGTGATTAGGGAAATATACTCAAATATATTTTCCCAGTTGCTTATTCTGTCTCAAGAATGCCAATGAATCATAAATTTGGTGTCTTTACATAACCCATATTTCTCAGAGGTTTTGTTCATTTCTAACAATTATTTTTCTTTAGTTTTGTCTGAGTTGAGTTGGCCCGAAGAGCCAGTCTTCAAGCTCTGAAGTTCTTTTCCCAGTTTGGTCTATTCTGCTGTTAATACTTCTAATTGTATTATGAAATTCTTATACTGAATTTTTCAGCTCTAGTAGTTCAGTTTAGTTCGTTTTTAAAATGGATATTTCATATTTCATCTCTTGGATAGTATAAATAAATTCCTTGAATTGGGTTTCAATTTTCTTCTGAATCTCAACCTTTCTTGCCATCCAGATTCTAAATAATATGTCTGTCATTTCAGTCATTTCAGACTGGTTGAGAACCACTGCTGGGGAGCTAGTGGATTCATCTGGAGATGAGGAGACACTCTGACTTTTTAAATTGCCAGAGGTCTTACCATGATTCTTTCGCATCTAAGAAGTCCAGTGTTTCTTTAACAATGACGTAATTTGAGTACTTCAGTTGGATTTGTTTCTGGATGTTTTCACATGCCCAAGCCTCTCTATAGGGCCTTTATTTGTGGCTGAATTCTTGCCCTTGGTTTCACAGGGGTGTATAGTAGCAAAATATTTTTGGCGTGGTAGTTTGGGCTGGGATCCAGTAGATGATGCTGAAGAGTAATGGGCAGTAGATAGCCTCTTATCTAGCTGCATGGCTCCTCTGTATTTCTCACATTTGCAGCTGTGCTCTGCAGTGGGCAGGGAGAGAGGTGACCTCCTCACCATGTCCACTCTTGGACCTTGGGGGAGTCCCTCTGATCACTGACAGTGCGTCTGCATTTCTTTTGTTAGGTGTCTGTGCTGCAGGGCTCCCTGGTCCGAAGTTGCAGCAGGTAGATGGGAGACAACCTTTCCTGGCAAATCCTGTGGAGGGAGGCATGCCCCCTCCCACTCCAGCCCATGAATAGGCATCTCACCCCTCTCAGTGCTTTGAGAGTGTGAGCTCCTCTCCCACTTGAGTGCCAGCCACAGAACTTGGCTTGGCATTCCTGAGGTGGCTGCTGCAGCCCTCGGGCACTTGGATGGAATTGGGGCTCCATCCTTCAGGTACTTGGAGTTGGATTCTGGGTGCTCTGAGGAATCCAAAGTGCTCCCAAGCCACGAGGAACATAATCAGGTGGAGCAAGGCACCCAGGCTGGGCAGCAGAGGCTGTACTGTGCATATGTTCCTGCAGGGCTGCTAGGGTGTGGCCCTGAGAGGGGCTGGCAGGCTGGAAGGCCTGCAGAACAGACATGATCCAGTTCCACAGGGAAGTCAGCTCTACTTTCTTCTGGCCTAGTGGTCAGCTGTGGCTAGAGCTTTTTGGAGGGAGATGGAGAGACCTGGGTTATGGACACCTATTACCATGTTCTGCCAGAGCTGCACCATGTACAAAGGCTCCTGTTCCATTCTGGATGAAGCTCTGTCTTTATCTACTCTCCAATCAGATCCCCTTGTCAGATCAAGTGTCCATGGGGGATGCGGGGCCCTCTAAGCCAGGATCCCATAGGCACATGGTGAGGGTGGGCAGTCCCACAGTCCCATCATGAACCTATTCCCCCGGAGCTGTTGAGGGCCAGGGACTAGCCCTGCCTCCAGTACCCTGTGCCTGCCTTCTCCCTTCTCAGCCTCAGCATCTGCATTGCATCTCCATCTACTTTAAGCATTTTCTTTCTAGAGATCTGTCCAAATTATGTTGATTTACTCAAACCCTTGGTTTTTCTCCGTGGGAGTAGCACTTCTTTGCTGCATCTAGTTGGCCATCTTGCCTTCCCCCTCTGGAATTCCTGGGTGCTTCTTAGAGCAAAACCTTATTAGAGTTTTATGGTCCTGGAACTTTGCAAGAAATTATAATGGAACATAAAAAAATTAAGACAGGTCCTGTGATTCTACATAAGGCAGGCTAAAAGCTAGCTGGTACAACAACAAGCACAGGTGAAAAATACTGTATTTAGTGTT
This sequence comes from Homo sapiens, assembly GCF_000001405.40. Classification (NCBI taxonomy): domain Eukaryota; kingdom Metazoa; phylum Chordata; class Mammalia; order Primates; family Hominidae; genus Homo; species Homo sapiens. Next base: position 118,045,778 of record NC_000004.12, on the reverse strand, counting down.
TGTCATAAGATTAGAGTCTATCGCACATCTGCTTCTTACTTATTGTGTCATTTGGGCCTCTGTACCAAGTAAAATGATGAAGTTCACGAATAACATTCTGCTTCCAAAATTCTATGACATAAACAATGAACAATATTTTGAACAATATGTTTATCTTTATGAATAATATAACATTCTAGAATAGAATTGTAGGATATTTATGGTATATTCTATTTACAGGATAAATGTGTTATTTATCTTTTAAATTATATATTGTAGTTCATTCATTAAAATATTTAGGGTATATATGTCATGCATTCAAACATTTATGGGGTAGCTCTCATGCTATTTAAAATATAAATGTTCAGCAGACTGAATTTATTTAAAATGTTCTAAATTATAAAGCAGAGATAGTGACAAGAATGATAATAATGTGAGGGTTGTGGATTAGAGACAATGACTATAACAGGATGAGAGAAGAAAGAGACCATGGCAAGTGGGGGAGTCTGTGGAATGCTCCAGGGGGTGGTGAGGCTGTACTGTGGAGTAGGATTTGGGTAGAGCCTTGAAGGATGGGAGTAATTTGAAGAGACATTTGAGATAGAGGGAATGTTACAGAGGCAGGAATGAGCACAATATTGGGTAAGGATGATGAATAATGAGTGGGAGGAAAGAGTGAGAAATACTTAAAAAATAAATTTGACTATGTATGGGTAACCCAGATTATGCTAAGACTTGAGAGTACAGAGGTTGTGAAAGATTGTAGGGAGATCTTATGGTTTGTATGTGTCCGCCAAAGTTTGTGTGCTGGAAATTTAATTCCCAATGCAACAGTGTTGGGAGGTGGGGCCTAAGAAGAAGTGAGTAGGTCATGAGGGGTCTGCCCTCATGAATAGATAAATGTCATTATCTTGGGAGCAGGTTACTTATCTCAAGAGTGTCATAAAAGCAAGTTTGGCTGGCTCTTGCTCTCTTGCCCCTTTGTGCATGCTGTCTTGCCCTTCAACCTTCCACCATGAGATGACACAGTAAGAAGGCCCTCACCAGATGCCAGCACCATGCTCTTAGACTTCCAAATCTCCAGAACTGTGAGCCATATAAATTGTTAATGTTTATAAATTATCCAGTCTGTGATATTCTGTTAGAGACACACAACTTTCTTGATTAGGGGGATAACATAACAGATTTTTCTGGGACAAGAATTAATAACATGGAGAATATCATAGAGCAATCTTACAGAGTTGATCTGGCACGCCAGTGCAGTCTCATTTCTCACAATGTAGTCGTAAACTGTTAATCATCATAGGTGAGGGAGAATTGTAGGGAAGGGACAAATCTTACAAACACTGCAGAGAAAGGGGGACAAGAACTTGGCATGCCATGTGAGGTCTCTTTTAAATGCTCTGGTATAGATACAGATGATATTTAAGCAAATAAAAATTTACCTGGACAACAGAGTTTTCATTGTAATTATAGTTATTTCATTTTGATAAGTAATTGCGCTTTTACAGTTATGTACGTTCTTATGACTATAATATTCTGGAGCATAACAGCAGAATACAAAATCTCATATCCTCCCATTTCTACGTTTCAATTTTACCTGTGAGGTGTTTTTGACTAGACATAAAATGTATTGCTACATTTTCCATTTTAGATAGCAGCATTTTACAATTTGTCCCCTTTGTCAAAAGTGAAAGGCATGTAACTTATACAATTCTTATCTGTGATGAGGCAGAGTGGTGAAGAGTATTTGCTCTCACTGTTTAGGACAGATATTAGGAATCTATCAAAGTTATTTTCTCTGTAAGCCATTATAAAATGCTGAAGGACATTTCTTTTCTATTAAGCTCTTCAAGTTTCCTTCTGAAGCTAAAGAAAAAATTCCAGTGCACGTCCCTGAGGAATTGGTCTAACATATTTAAATGCATACATTAAAATTCTCCTGTTTTCTGCAAACCTTTTTCAATTGCACATCTCACTTTGCCATGCCAACTTCAGTCTCTGGTGCAGATTCTCAGAGCTTTCTATTCATACTACAAACTCATCCAAGGACAGCTACTTCCCATTCTCTTCCATGTTTCTGTTAGCTCTGAAAACTTCAGGATGGACTGACCTGTTGCTGTCACTCCTCCTGTGGAAGGTGGCACCGTAGCAGTAGGCAAAGGCAAAGTTACAGACTTCACCTGAGCCCTTCACTTGTGAGGCATCATGCAGATGGATGAATATGGAAAATTAAGCTCCTCGCCACAATTGCCCTGTGGTGCCTTCTCTGACTTTTCAAACTTGGTAAGACCAGTGGGTATACATGGTCTTTGTGAAAAGAGCATCTCCTTTGTACTTATTGCCATAATTAAAATTTTGTTTAAAGTCAGACTTTCTGTATGCCTGGAAGCTCCAAGAGGGTAGAGATAGTACCTTTCTTTTGCCTATCATTGCACCACTTGTGCCAGGAGCAATGACTTTTTGTGGAATTAATGGAATACAATGGCATCTTACACCTGTAGGTTAATTTGACACTTTTACTGTATTCTAATGCTTTAACTTATCTTTTGAAGTTACAAATAACTATTTCATTCAATGTTAAGTTAATGTAATCATAGCATCCCAACATGGGATAAATTTAATATCATAATATCTATGGTAGATAAAACCTTCACCCACCAAAAATACTTATCATTATGCAATTAGTGATCAGGTATTTACTGAACACCTACTTTGGAATTAGTGCTGTAGTAAATACTGTGGACACCACGGAAGTATATTAGGATATTAGGAATAATCCTTTCCCCTAGATAATGGACTCTATTAAGGGAAATGAGACTTGTGAGACAGCAGCCAACAGTATGTTGTACATAATAAATAGTGATTTATGCAGTATAGACTATCTGTTACAGGTTTCAGAAGAGAGAGAGAGAGACAGAGAGAAAGAGAGAGAGATTAGTGAAGCTTAGTAAAGTCAGTGGCAGTTTCTAAGAGACATGGTGCTTGAAAGTGACATGCCATGATGCACTGGGTTTGGATATGAGGATGGGGACAACATGTCAGGCAAAACTCCCTGGCAAGGTTGAAGAAATGAAATGGTTACAATGTGCTTAGCTCAGAGTGAAATTAACTAAAATATAGGATACTATGTTTGGGGTTGAAAATGGAAATAATATTTGATTAAAAGAGTGGTGCAGATTAATGAATGTCCTTGAAAGTGATTGTGAAGTACAAGAGTATGAGCTTGAAAATAAAGAGCATTGGGTGCATTTGAACAGAGGGATTTGATAAAGACAGTGTTTACAGATGATTAGTGTAGTAGTGACACCCAGAATGATGAACAGCAGTAATATGAACAGAGAGAGAACATGCCACACTGTGCAGAGTGAAGAAGTAGGCAGAGTCAAGACAGTCCCAGCTAAGGGGCTGCTGCTGTAATCCATGTGTGAGGTGGTATAGGTCCAGACTAAGGTGGTTTTGAGAGAGAATGGAAATGAGAGATATTTGGGAAGAAAGAAGAAAAAAAACATGCTTACTGTTAAATTATGGTTGGGGGAGGTAGCAGTCTTGGGGACTAGAAGATAAAGATGCCAGTATAATAGAAACATAAAACTAAGAGGGGAAATTGGCTTGACTCAGTGATGCACACTTCAGATTCAGATAGATAGATGGACTAAGTTATACATGATTAGATAACAAAATCACAATGTTATATAACATAGTTGGATGTAGACAAATACAAAATGTCAAGAAAATCTTTGGAATTGACAGGTTACAGGCACGTCTGAATGTGCTACAAAAACCCAATTCCTCAGGGAAGCCTTTGCTGACCAACTGTATTCTTCCCCTTTAGATGAGGCTCCCTTTGGAGACTTTATCATAACTCTTATGAAATATTATTAACAATATTATTTGTCTAATGTCTGTCTTCCTTGTTAGACTGAAATTTCCAAGGGCATAGGGCTCATGTTTTTTCCCAGTAATTTTTCAAATTTTTCAAAAAGAAATGAGATGAAAACACTTTTAAAGGCCAACAAGATCAACATGTAAACATTTCAGTATAGTGATGAATATGTTCGTGAAATGCTTGCACAAAAATACATAGAAAATTGAAGACTTTTGCATGGTCAGTAGGGTACTCTGAATAAGTACAGAACAAGCACACTAGCCTGCATGTCAGAGAGTTCCCACAGACACAACTGTCTTGATCAGCAGTACAGAACTGACAGTTGTGGTTGAATTCTGCTCCGAATTCAACCTATGATGAGGACTATGCTGACTGATCAGGAAACTGTATTTTAAATTTTGAAAATCAACAGATCACTTAGACAGGCATTCTGAAATAGTTAGGTTCGAGAAAGTTACAAAGTTGGATCAGTTATAAATGTCAACACATCATCAAGATTTCCTATAAGGCACCCTGAAGGAAATAATATGATATGGGAAGATATAGAATAACAATAGTAATGCAGCTAATATTAATAAACATTTACATAGGTACTGAAATTGTGTTGGACCCTTTAGAGGTGAAGTAACCTGCCCATGATGTCACAGCTAGTAGAGGTAGAACTGAAATATGAACTCCAACAGCCTGCATCAAAGATACCATACACCTGGGAAGATAACTGCAACACGATCCTTCCATGCTAGGAACAAGTAGGAAATGCATATTGGGCAGCTATTATCTTTAGATGCTGCAGTTTCCTTCTAAGAAAATGGGCTACTATGATATCTCCTAAGGGGATTTTAATGAGGGTTAAAGCTCTTAGAGGCCGGGTGCAGGGGCTCACCCCTATAATCCCAGCACGAGGGGAGGCTGAGGTGGGCAGATCACTTGAGCTCAGGGGTGGAGACCAGCCTGGGCAACACAGCGAAACCCCATCTCTACAAAAAATATACAAAATTTTATATATATATAAATATATATATATATAAATATATATATATATAAAAATATATAAATATATATATAAATTAGTTGGACATGGTGGCAGGTGGTCCCAGCTACTTGGGAGGCTGAAGTGGTTGGATCGCTTGAGCCTGGGAGGTGGAGGCTGCAGTGAGCCATGATCACACCACTGCCCTCCAGCCTGGGCGACAGAGTAAAATCCTGTCTCAAAAGCAACAACAAAAACCAAACTCTTATAATAGTGTTTGGCACATACAATGAACAAACAAAATTTATCTGCTATGATGATGATAATAGAAATAACACAGGAAATGAGGGAAATATCCTGAAGATGACCAATGAAAGTACACTAAGGGTTCATAAAGGGATAGCTATGAGCATTTTAGCTTAAGTAGAGTTGTGGGAAGCACATAAGCCCACCCTTAGTGCAGAGATCTAAAGTCGGATGGATCTTAGAAGAAAGAAAGAAAGAGGCTCAATCAGAGGCATAACCAGCACCATGTCCTTGGGCTTCTTTTCACCCCTCCCCCTTTCCTTAGATGAGCTCATATACTTCTTGGTTTTCATTATCATCTACACTCTAGTAAATTCTGAATGTTCATTCATAACTCAGACCTCCTTCCTCTAAGCTCTAGGATTTTATATTGAACTATCAACTTGATATAATAGCAACAACAACTCACATAGACTGTGCCCTTTCTTATTATATTCCAGCCACTATTTGGCTCCACTAGAATCATGTCACAAGCAAACTTAACCTGTCTAAAACTGAATTTATGATCTTTCCGCTAAAACCATCCTCATGGTCCCACAATCACCTACGTGCATCCTTAACACCTTCTTTTACTTGCAGCAACTAATCTCACCACAAATGTTCTTGGCTCCTTCTACCATTTTCTCAATGCAGCATCAAAGTGGAACTCTGTTACTTCTTTCCAGCTGAGATCCTGTCAATGATTGCTTATTTTACTTGCTGGTTAAAATTCATATTCTTGTACATGTCCCACAAGACCCTGTGTGGTATGCTTCCCACTTTTATCTCTCAGGCCTGGTTAGATGATGCTCTCCCTTCTAAGTTCCAGGCAAGTGGGTCCTCTTTCAGTTCCCAAAAGAGATAATCTCTTTTCTGTCTCAGGGTCTTTCCACATGCTGCTACCTTTGTCTGAAAGTTTTTTCTCCACTTCCCCATCTGGTTTCATCTTCCAAATCCTATGGTTCTAAGTATATATATCCCTGCCTCACAAAAGTCTTCCCTGATCCCCCTTATCTGTCAGGCCTCCCTGTTACACATTCTCACATCACTCTCTACTTTACCTCTGTAGTATGTTCCAAAGTTATAATTAGTTATGTGATTTTCTGTTATAATTAGTTATGCAATTTTTCTCCATAGCTTGGAAGCATCTGTAAGTACTTGTCCTGTTCACTTCTATATTTTTAATGTCTAATAGAGTACTTGAAGTGAGAATAGCCCATTGAATATTTGTTGAATGAGTGAAAAAAGGCCTCTACTAAATTTTACAAATAGCAGCTGGCACTCACAAACTAGGGCAGTATTTAAGTCAAACCATCTTCTATGAACAGCTACCTTCATCAGTCACACTGGCCTCAAACAGTCAAGGCAATAATATAAACATTGTGAATAGCAGTGACCACCTTGATCAGAGCCATAAATCAGGCATATCCAGAATGTGCTTTTCACTGAAATTTACTCAATTACTTATTTTTTCCATTCTGAGATTTTTCAGAATTCAGCATGAATAGAGTTGCTTTGCAATGCATCTGTTTTTAAAAAGACTCCACCAAGCAAATATTAACCATTAATTATTTACCATTAACAAAAGGCAGAAGAAGCAATTAGTTTTTGGAATCACAGACAATTCCATAACATAGTGAAAGAACTCAATATATACAAACATATATTCTGCAAAGTATTGCAATATCTGCAAGGGGAAGTGCCTGCTTGTCAATGTAACCTATCTTTTCTCTTCCACTAACACCCACCATCATCCCAAAGTAAAAATCAATTTCTAAATGAAATAGAATCATGTTAAAGTTGGCAGTACAAGAAAAGTGAAAAAAGATTACCATCTGGAAAATGAGTATTAATAACTAAAGAGCTTCAGGTTCTAACATAAATGAAAGATATTTAAAAGATCCTGACAATATTCCTTTTTCTGAAAAAGGAATGAACTATAAAACTATATTTTATAATGTTGAAAAATGCAGTGGGAGGCCTCAAATATGTTACATGGACTTGCTAAAAGTAATTTAGTAATAATAATAAAAATTGACAAGGGCAAGCTTTTCTTTGGGAAAGAATGTGTGAAATTGTGTCATGTTAATTAAACCCTGCTGTGGTAGGCAAGTAAGAAGCTGATTTACATGGAGTATGACCAAGAATACACTCTGTCTCTAGAACTGCAATTTTTAAAAGATGGATGGGAGAAAAGCTGCACTTGAGGGCATTAGCTTTGTTTGGTACATTAAATGGAAAATGACTTTCTATTATCATTCTCCCTCCATCTTTGTATTAGAAATTATGAAGAGAAGAATATGTTTTATTCACCTCCCTCAGTGTTATGCCATCCAGTGATGCAAGAGAAGAAAACTACCCCACTGCTGTTTGCTGTTTATTCTGCCCTATATGACTTAAGGGGGAAAATGTCTGCCTTTACCCTCTAAGATTGGACCAGAATGCATGCATCAAAATACGCTGACATATTCTGTCACACATGCTCACATATGACATATGTGAGTGCTGACAATGCAGCTTTTAGGGTCTAATCCAAACCTTTTCTTTGTCCTTCATTAGACTCATGGGAACAAGAGAGTGTTAACCTGGCCTCTCATTGGTTGCCTGGACCATTAGATGTAAAGTTACAGATCAGTGTTGGCTATGTTTTAGGGCAGGTTACATGAACCAGATAAGGAAAGACAGCCAATCTGCAGAGAGAAGATGATGCAAAAAGAGTAGAAACGAATAATGAAAAAATATGATATAGGGAGTCTTGAGGAGGTTGAAGGTTCTATTACTCTCTATTCTATGGACACATCAATAAAGGCGTCAGGTAAATTATTCTTCTGTTACCTTGGGCACATTTTAGAACAAGTGAGACTCAACCTAACAGCAGTAGCAAAAGAGGAGAAAGAAATCACCTGAACTAGACTGTATATACTTAGCTAGGGAAGGCACCACATTTAATTGTCCTGTGGACTCCTTTATGCCTGGTGCAAAAGTAGATGCTTAGTAAATACCTCCTGGGTGAATGAATGAGTATTTCATATGTAAGGGAAGTGATGGAAATTGTTGGAGTGGTATATGGATTACCTCTGTTCCATCAAGAGGCATATCAAGAACAAATATTTGAAACCTATAGAGAGACAATGTAGTATAACGGTTAAAGGAATGTGTGCTGGAGCCGGACTCAAACTGCATACCAGCTTCAGCACTTGCCAGGGATGTGATCTTAGGCAGGTAGGTAACCGCTCAGTGCCTCAATTTCCTCATTTGTGAAACAGGAATAATATTTACCTTAAATAATCTTTGTGAAGATTATATGAGCTAAAAATTAATATGTAAAGTAGAACAGTGCCTGGTACAAGGTAACTATTCTATGAGTAAAAACTGTAACATCTCTACTTAGCAGAAATCTAGACAATAGTACTTATCACCAAGTTAAATTTTGTATTATTCACTGATGTTTTCTCATCTATCTTCGTCCTGGCCTCCAGATCAATTTCTAAAATGTTGAACAAACAGGATAAAAAAGGGTCTCTGGAATCCTCATTTTTCAGGTGAAGAAACCAAGCCCCAGAGCCAGCAAGGGAGCTGTTCAAGGCCACTCCTGTCTTGGCAGAGCCAGTCCTAGAATTTAGGTCTACTTTCATGTTATTTTCAAATATTTTAATGAAAAAAAAAATTCAGCAATGAAACACATGTAAAATGGATACCCATAATTGAGATGCTTAAAGGTTTTAGGATAGGACTGCAATAATTGATTTTTAAGCTCTTATTTGGCAACAGGTAATCAAGAATTATAGCCCTCAGTAATTTGTAGAAGATTTGGGGAAATAATTTCTTATAGACATTAATTAATTGTAGTAGGTCCTGACTACTTTTTTTTTCTTGTCCTGTAACTTACATGAAATCGATGAAAATGTTTAGAGTAACATGAAAGAATAAATCACTCACTGTGATATCCAGGTATCTAAGAGTATAGTTTTTTACTATAAACAAACAGACAAACCAAGAAATATTAAAATCACCCCTTTACGAGAAACTTCAGTCATGAAATAGTTTTGAGGATTGTTCAGACTAATTATCTTTATAATGTAGGTCGTTACTTTTGTGGCCTGGCAGCATTCCTAATCTGGACAGGTGTTCAGAGTTCATGCATTTCAGTGTGAATGCTCATTTATAATAGACACAGCACAGGGAAAGTAAACTTCTACTGTTTTCCCTTACTGTCAGAACTGTTAAGCAATTAGAAATTCAAGGCATTCATTTAGTTGAGAATAGTGTTTTTATCCTTAATTCAATTTCCCTGATTTTATAGTGTATATAAATCACAAAGTATTTACATATAGTTTAAAAAAATATATTTTGCATCTTAACAAATGCACTTTTAAGGCTCTAATCACCAAAAAGCAGCTGAAACTCAATCAGGTTTCAAGGAAGTCATATAATCAGAGTCCCAAGATTAAAAGAAAAAAAATTGTAATTTCTTTACAGTTTTAAAATTTTGAAATGACAGGTAGACAATTACATATTTACATTTTAGCTTATAATAACTTCTTTAGCAGAATATATGGTTTAGAAAAAGAATCTCCAATGCCTGATTATCTCTTCTACTATATATTTTTTAACAAACTTTTCAGTTACACCAAAAATTAATATTTGCCTCAATGTTCAGAAATAATGCTTTTCTCAAGAAAATTAATTTAAAAAGAGGGTATATATAACTCCACCAAACTAAACTATAACAAATATCTCCAGAAAGAGATAAAAGTTTTATTTTATCTAAAACATTTTAGTAATGTAAGAATTCTTCATTTTAAAGACTATGAAGAAAATTAACTCATGTGACAAGCTCAAAATTAACATTATTTACACAAAGAAACAAATCTTCTGTTTTACCATCAAGATGATAAAGAAAAATGATAACAAAATTAGAAATGGTAGATACTGTGTTAACCAGAGAAAGAAAAAAAAGAGCTTATCTTAGGCAAGCCTCTTTATATGTTCAGTACTATTTTAAAAAGGAGCCTCCTTCAAACTTATATTTGAAATCTCCATCTTAAATATAATATTGATAGGAAGGTATGGATGAAGAAAAAGGGAAAAAAATTCCCTTCAGCTGAATATCGGATATTCTAGAGTTTCTCTGCCATATCATCCTGCTCTCTGGTGGTGAACAGCATTGCTCAGTAGTTGATAACATGAAATTTTCTAAGGGCAAAAAAAAAAAACAAAAAAAAAGTGTGTGTCCCAGATCAGTTGCACACATCTCAATATTTGATTTGTATTTTAATTTAATACAAATGTATTAAGAATGTAGCTGTTTGCATTGTCTAGAAGGGTTTTCTTCTAAACTCTTCCAGATTACATGTTGCTATATTTCAATATGTTTATAAAGAATATAGATACTAATACATTTTCGACATTAAATAACTCTGATGCTTAAACAGTATCCAGCTATTAGAAAAACTATTTGAAAAAGGATCTGAGTAAACCCCTTAAAGATGTAACTTTGCTTTTACCTGCCCCCACAAAATGGATATATTAAATAGAAGATATATCTGTTTTCTTTAAATTTAAAGTTTCTGTATTTGATACCTAGATTGATTCTTTCCATTTCCATTTAATTTTATTAATTGTATAGTTTTAAATAATGTCTATAAACTGCATCAAATAGAAAGCCTTTTGAGGATCATTACTGTGTAGATAGGCAGGTAGTTTAAAGTCTCTGATATTCCTTACAAAATTCTGTCAAGGCAACAGACATGTGTTCTGTTAAACAGATCTACTTCAGAATCATTATAAGTTGGTGAATATCTTAAACAATTACAAGAGGTCATTTCTTTAGTACCATAATCTTATGAAAGGGAAGCTTTAAAATCATCCCTGAATGAGACGGTCCTTTGTTTCACTTAATTTAATCAAAATACTCTATATTTCTTCTTCAAGAATAAAATGAAGCACTTGTTCAATCTTGAAATTTTTAGATTATTTGAAAGCAAAGTTGTTATCTCTTAAAAGCCCCTACATTTATGAGTGAGGCATTAATGCACAGTATAAATAAATAAATACACTTACCTGGAATTAAAGTTCAGAGCTGAAAATGCTTGAGAAAGTTGCAATAGATGGAAAAGAAACGGAAACAGTACCACTCGTTACCATCGGCTCAGGCTTTTTGACTTTACAAGTGGTAGCAACACCAGTCCTGGCCCAGTACTCTCATGTTATGTAACATCTTATTAATATTAGCCATCAAACTGCTACCAAGCTGGTGAGGCACTAGAGGGCAAGAGTGTCACATGCAAGACCCGTCGCCAAGGGACCGGCTTTGGTACCACTTCGGGGGAAGACAGATGCTAACTAAGCTGATGAATAACAGGATGCCCGAATACAACAGCAAACTTGTAACGTTCCTCAAAGAATATTTTACATGTCAATTTTCTGACTAGCGGAAGAGTTAACAGGTTAATAAATATGAGCAAGCAAATAACCACACCATGAAAAACTTTTAGGATTATATTTACAAACCCACAGTCACTCAAGAGGCTGTTTGTTTTTTTCTTTCCATTGTCTAAATAAACTTATTTAAAACAGGAGAAAAAAGCTGGTTAAATAAAACGAGTGTCGGTTTCAGGACTCCCTCATTCCAAGCCGCGAGAAACTTGTCTGGTCGAGATGCCGCCTCTGGAGTCCGCATTCCAAGGCGCCCGGATCGGGTTTCTGGGCGAGGAGACCGGCCCCGTCCTCCATGGAGATTACCTGGGGCTGCAGCCGTCCGCGGGCTCCTCCTTCCCTCGGGTCTTCGGCCTCAGCCGCTCCCCAGGGCCCCTCGTCCGGGTGGCGCTTGGGTGCTACGCGGTGCCCGGGGTCCGGCGGGGGCGACAAGCGGGCGACCTCTCCCCTCCGCGCCCGGGATCTGCGCGGACACAGCTGGTGGCGACTTCGGCCGCTCAGGCTGCGGCTGCGGGGCGAGCGCAGCGGGTGCGCCGGGGACTCCTGCGCTGGAGAACCACGGCCCTGGGACCCGCCCGGCCGCGCCTCCGCCGCCCTCGCCACCGCCTCCCGGGCGGGAGCCGCCGCCTCCCAGCTCCCGGCCCGCGCGCGCCCGCCCCGGGGAAGGGGAGGGAGCGGGAGCTGAGGACGGGAGCCGCCTCCATCGACCGGGCTCCCGCCCGGACCGGCCCTGAGGATCTGGCTGCCCGGGCCTCGACAAGGAGACCCCGGGGGTTCCGCCCCGGCCTGCCAGTTCCGACCGCCCCTCCCGGCGGGTTGGCGGCGGCCGCCAAGGATGAAACGTCTTGTGCGGCCAGGGAAAGGGGTGCGAGTCCCCGAGGCGACGCTGGAAGGGTGGGGCGCACCCGCGCGGTCCCTTCCTGTGGTGCTCCTGCCGTTGGCACTGGACCAGGGCGGCTGCGAGGCTGCAAGAGTTTCCTCTGTTCGCCAGTTTTTTTCAAATGCCATGTGTTTCAGCTCCTGAAGACAAGTGGAAGGCCAGCAACTGAAGAGATATTTTGGATTCAAGGTGTGAGGTTACCCTCTCCAGAACTATAGTTTGATTAGAAGTGTGAATCGAATGATATATATTTTTAAAAATTTCATTTGGTTCCACTAACATGTGAATTGTATTAAGTGGGGTCTACTAATGATACTTTGTATTGGCCATTTGTGGTTTTGCTTCCCAGCACTCACTCTTGTTGAAACAGTACTCCTGTTCATTTTGGAAGATCCAACCACTTGATCTCACCCCGCAGCCCATTTGCTTTAGGTGATGTCAGCCGCTGCTGACTCACTGGTAGACCCACAGCTCAGGTCTGGCCAGTGATGGCTTTCTGTCCTGGTAGCATGGGTAGGTATGTAACCCAGGTCTGGCCAATCAGAGAGAAAAACAGAAAAAAACCACCATTCTGGGACTTTTTTTTTTCCTTCCTCTCTTAAGAAAGTGGACTCTCTTCTACTGGACTTTGCATAATGAAGATGTGAGCTTAGAGCTTGAAGTCTGAAAATAAAGCTGATACTCAGGAAGGCAGAACTGAGAGTTGGAGAAAAGTGAAACCCAGATGGAGATTTTCGAGCTTGGAATCGAGCTGTAGCTGAAATAAGTTCTATCTCTGGATATTTTCATTCATAAACAAATACATTCACTTTTTTTTTTGATTCGGAGTCGCGCTCTGTCGCCCAGGCTGGAGTGCAGTGGCGTGATCTCAGCTCACTGCAAGCTACGTCTCCCGGGTTCCCACCATTCTCCTGCCTCAGCCTCCCGAGTAGCTGGGACTATAGGAGCCCGCCACCAGGCCCGGATAATTTTTTGTATTTTGGTAGAGACGGGGTTTCACCGTGTAAGCCAGGATGGTCTCGATTTACTGACCTCGAGATCCGCCCACCTCGGCATCCCAAAGTGCTGGGATTACAGACTTGAGCCACCGCGACTGGCCACATTCACTTTTGTCTTAAGGCAGCTTGGACTGCATTTGCTGTCCCTTGAAACTGAAAGAGACACAAACGATGATACAGTAATTAAATATTCTGGTTGTTTATTAACTTTATCAGGGTATTTGGATTCGTAGTTCAAGACCTTCAATTAGAACCCAATGTCCTGAAAGGGTTAGTTGGAATTGTGTTTTAAAATCAGGAAGTTATATATCCTTTTTGTTCTATGTGATGGAGGGGTTACAGATGTGACTGAACCAATTGCTCCTTCTGGAAGCCCACAAAAATGTCAGGATGCTAGAATTCTTTGGCCAAGTAACATGTATTAGATTGGTTTTATTTATTTTTTAGTTGGAGTGTTCCCTGGAAGTCTTGTGCCTTTTAAGAATTTTAAGAACCCACATTTATTTTTCTATGTACTCCTTACCCAAGAGAGAGCCTGCTCTGTCTTCCGAGCAGCCATGCATTCATCATTTTAGTAATCAAAAAAATTATTGAACACCTACTAAATGGCTCTGGGAATACAATAATATTGAAAAAAGAAAAGCAGGACCACTCTCTGCCCTTCAGTCGCTTATATTGATATAGCTGTAGGAGGTCAGGCTCTTCTACAAGATTTCAGAGAATAGACAAGATTCATGAATTCATAAATTCCTAAATGTTTCAGGGAATGTAGGCAGATTCAGAAATGATATTCACTTTTTCTTTTCTTTTTCTACCTCCTCTGCACAAAAACACAAAACCAGAAAAACTTCTTCTACAAAATAAGATACTTACTATTCTTATGACTGTATTTTGGGGTTTTCTTCAGCTAAGATGGATAGGAGACATAATCAAATTTCTCATTGTTTTTGGGAGAGTTGTTACCTTTACCAGCTACTGCTCCTTCCAACCATCCATCTGGAATTACAAACAGCTTAGGATCATGCTGTCTTTTCCTATGAGATCCTCAAATCTTACACCTCTATTAGAGAAGTCCTCATCTGCACACATATGTCGTCTAAGCCAGTGTAATAGCAGATTGATATGTTGCCTATATTTCCTTTCACTCCTGGGCTGCGTGCCCAGCAGAGAGGTAAGAAGGGACAGACATCAGGGCCAACCATTGCCCCCTGTAGCCCTCCCTTCCAATCTTCTGTTCCTAACCCAGGGACATTAAGGCCAGCGAAAAATTTTCCTCCAGAGAGGTATTCCTATTTAGTCTAACACTGTGGCAGTGCCCAAGTAGAGGTGGAGAAGGCCATCTGATTCAGGGCCAGACATTTGTGAAGCACTTCAAATAGAGTCATCTCCAAATGAACTTGTGCAATACATATATGTATATATATATATATATATATATATTCTTTTTTTTTTTTTTTTTTGAGATGGAGTCTTACTCTGTTGCCCAGGCTGGAGTGCAGTGATACGATCTTGGCTCACTGCAATGTCTGCCTCCCAGGTTCAAGCGATTCTCCTGTCTCAGCCTCCCAAGTAGCTGGGATTACAGGCACATGCCACCATGTCCAGCTAATTTTTTCTATTTTAGTAGAGACGGGGTTTCACAGTGTTTCCCAGCTTGGTCTCTAACTCCTGAGCTCAGGTAATCCACCTGCATCAGCCTCCCAAAGTGTTAGGATTACAGGCGTGAGCCACCGTGCCCGGACTGAACTTGTGCAATATTTTTTTAATAGGATCAATTGATTATGTTTAGTTTAACCTTTTGGGATATACTACAGTTTTTGTAACCACCTTTGGCATTTCTGTTATTACTATTTACATAAATACTGAGAATCTCAAAAAATGGAAGAGGCTCAACTATTGCTAAACTCTGAGAAGCCTTGAAACAATATGAAATATTTTTATTAGCATCCCAGCTTCAGACACAAAAGGAAGCATCTGCTTGTAAATTACATCCCTATAGAAATCATTAAAAAGGGGTGGGCGTGGTGGCTTACGCCTGTAATCCTAGCACTTTGGGAGGCCGACGCAGGCGGATCACCTGAGGTCAGGAGTTCAAGACCAGTCTGGCCAACATAGTAAAACCCTGTCTCTACTAAAATACCAAAATCAGCCAGGCATGATGGCGGTGCCCGTAATCCCAGCTACTCGGAAGGCTGAGACGGGAGAATAGCTTGAACCCGGGAGATGGTGATTACAGTGAGCCGAGATTGTGCCACTGCACTCCAGCTTGGGCAGCTGAGCTAGACTCCATCTCAAAAAAAATAAAAAAAAAAAAAAAAGAAGATAAAAGAAAAGAAAAAAGAAATCATTAAAAAGAAGAAAAAAGAGTAAAACTTGTACTTTTAATATTGAAATCATCCTTGTATTTAGTCACTGAGGCCAAAGGCATTGAATAGCAACTCATGGTGATGTAGAGATTTAATAACTTATGCTTTATATAAGTTAAAAATTATTTATATCTTTTGATGGTTTTTTGTCCTTTATCTAAATGCTTCTATGTGGAGGGTGCTGATTATAAAAGACTTTTGGGAAACTAATTTCAATTTCCAGAGGTCTCTTCTATTTTTCAATGTCTAGTTTAAAGCCATATATTATTCTATTATGACAAATATTAAAAAGTACAAGTATTTATATAGGACATGTTAGTATTTCTAACCTGAAACAGCTAATAAGCTATAAGATTACAATTTCTTTAAAAATCTTCAGCCTGGACTTTATAGTAATTAATGACACTGTTAAGCTGCTTAAAGGTAATAGGGTGAAGATTTAATAGAAATCGTATTCTAGCTAGGAACTGCTAACTCAGCCCAAGGAAATGTACTCCAACTTTGATTGTCTCAAGAGGTGGCAAAGTGAAAACACATCAAAACCAAAAATCTCAGCAAAATGATTGGTTGGGAGGAAGGAGGAAGGAGGAAGGAGATGGTATGCCCCTTTCTGGCTGCCCTAAAGCCACAAAAAGATAAATTTCACCTGCTTCTAAGTGTCCTTGCAGACATTTCCTGTGAAAAGTAATGAAGGCTGAATTAGTAGTATTAAAGTCTCATCTTATTTTTATGAAACACCACTTTAAAGCTTAGTATACTAGATTAGAGCAGTGATTCTCAAACTTTAGTGTGCCTTAATATCGCTATAGGGCTTATGAAATCACAGGTTGCTTGGTCTCACCCTCAGAGTTTCTGATTCAGTAGATCAGTAGGTAGGGCCTGAGAATCTGCATTTTAGCAATTTCCTAGGTGATGCAAATGGGGCTTGTCTGAAGCCATACTTTGAGAACCCCTGGACTAGAGCATTACTGAGAACCCGGTGTCTTTATGTGTGTTTATAAAAATGAATGTGTGTTACTAAATATGTTATTTGATTTTCAAAGCTAATTTTCTGCTTTTATAGTTATCATGGTAAATATACAGTAAATTCAGTATTCTAATTAGTTTTTCATATAATCAATTAGGCAAACTACCAAAGAAAATAAAATGACTTATTCAAAAATATACAGCCTTTGTCACGGTAAAAATAGCAAAATTTGGAAATGGGAGAATGAATGCCAGACTCTTACCTCGAGTGCTGCCTCTGTTACTGATTCATTTTGTGTTTCTCCCTGCTCCAGGGGCACTGCCTTGCACATCAATGATCATTTAAAACACACTAAAGAAGAGAAAGAAATTATTTTCTTAGTAGAATAGGTAGTGTTTTACACTGTCCCTGCTGAAGGAAATAACCTTATTTTATCCTGTCTTAATAAAAAAAAAATTCTAAGCCAAAAATTACCTCTACACATTGTTTTCTGTTTAAATTCTGAATGCGTTTTCCTCAAGAATAGTTATTTTCCCTACATGAGGCTATTTTAAACTCTTATGTGCTGATCATAGGTATGTAGTTAATTACAAGCCTTGGGTGATGACTCTTTGGTAGTTAAAAACATATTCATACCTATAAGTTTAGCATAAACTATTGAAATTATTGTCATTTTGTTCCATCTTATTGGAGAAATAGAAGCAATCATCAGATTGCAGAACACTTTGACTCTTCAAAGCTATCTTGTAATATTCAGGCAGGACCAAATATCATTAAGGTGTTTCTTTGATCTAGTTTGCAACATTAAAACATCATTTTATAGCTTGGCCTTATGCCATGTAGTTCAAGAGAGATTTATTGTGAGAATAAAATGGATGATTTCTCTCTCATTTTGTCTGAAAACAGGCTTCATAAACACTCCAGAATATTTTCTCTACCATATTACAATGATGTATTTCCATTATATCCCATCCTTGGATTTCAGGAGGTTGAAGAAAATACATATTCAAGAAGTAGGAGTTGTATGAATTAACTTAGTTTAGCTCCTTTGAAAGTATGTTTTTGAAAAAGTGATATGATAAGTTGTTAGAAAAAAGAGAAATAACAAAGAAAACTGAGATGCCCTGTACATTATGAATTGACAAATCCAATATTGTTAGGCTTGAGGCTTTTTGACTGAATTCTCCACCAAACATTTGAATTAGAATTAGAGTACTGTGAGTATAAAACACGAAAATTTAATTGGAAAATGGAACAGTCTGTGCATATGGTTTTTCTCCCTCAAACACACAAACAAGTACCCTTAGTAGTAACAGAAGAAATAGACAATGGAGACGCTGTTCACACAGCGCTAAATTGAAGTGTTGCACTACATCTTTTGCATTCTGGAACATAAGAAAAACTCACACTTGAGCTCAAGCACTCAAACACCTAAATGAAATGAAATTACAAGAATTAATGGTCAAGCACAAAATATTTTTCTACAAAGTCTCATTTTAATTATTGGGAACCATAATCATTTAATATTGCTTTCCCATGATACAGTTCAGCCCACTGGAAAAGGTAAAGGTAAATAATATTGATTGGCCAAATGAATTCAATTCTTGAAATTTTATTTTCCTTAAGCCCTTTAGGTAAAGTATATTTAAGAATTAATCTTTGAAAGATTCTACTAGTAATTTGTGCCTATGGTATTATATATAAGTTATGAATTTAGACTTTATTATATGTAAGTTACAAATTTAGACTCTATTATTGATCAGGGCAGGAGCATAAGGTTAGCAGAGACACTCTAGAGTTCTAAAACTTGTAATAGCTTTGTACTTACAGCAGAAGAAAACAAATTTAAACTGGGTTAAAGGATTTGGGGTGGTAATAGAATTATTTTTTATTTATACCTATCTATGCTAGGGGGGCAACAGTTTTTTTTTTTTTTTTTTGGTTGGGGCTACATCAAGCACAGCAAGCAGAGAGAGAGAGATGAAATGCAAAGTCATCAATTATCTGGATATTGCCACATTTCTGGAGTGTGACCAACATCAAATATTTGTCCAAATGCTTAATATATTCACATTTTTATTCTTCAATGAAATCAATTTCTCGACAACATAGTTTAATGGAATCTATGTAGAGCTACATGACCTGGGGCCCAGCTCTGGCTATGCTACTTGCCACTTACTTAACTTTGGGCTGATTGCTTCACCTCACCTAGTAAATGAGAACAATGGACCCATCAGAGGAATGAATTGAGAATAAAACATGTGAGAAAATGCTATGAAATTGGCACACAGATATGTAGATAAATGATATTTTTTAAAATATGGGATTATCAGATTGGTCATATTTATAAGAATGAAACTATTAACTATAAGATAAGATATAATCGTCTTACCTAAGACTTACATTTTAGTGTAAAAATGAAGTGAACATAATTTTCTATTCAAACCCTTTTCTTTTTTAAGGAAATTTAGTTTCTATTCTATTAATAATGCTAAATCTAGTAGTAAATTTAGTAGCTACAATCATAGGACATCATTTGACCACCTCTGAGATTACCAGGTGCTGTTGTGTTCATCTCACCTAATTGCTACAAAATTTCTGATTGGAAGATCTCTGATTGGAAGGCAGTCTGTTAGTTGTCTTTCAATATTTAGTCTTCCCTTCCTCTACAATAATAGCATCTGTAACAGGACACGTAACCATGCAGAAAGAAAGACTACATTTTCCAACAAGGTATGGCTCAGCTCTAGCCAATGGGTTATAGAGGAAGGATTGTGCTATTGTTTCTGGGAACTGTCTTGTGACAGACAGACACTGGAGAAGCCCCCATGGTACCCACCCCTTGCTGTTCAGTACTTGTAAAATACCCTCCCCTGGAGTGTTGACAGGACCTGTGACTTATTTATAACTAATAGAATATGACAAATGTGATGGAATTTCACTCGTTATGTTATGTTATGTTATGTTATGTTATGTTATGTTATGTTATGTTATGTTATGTTATGTTACATAAGACTTCATCTTGCTACCAGACTAACTCTAGAGGCTCTCCTTTCTGGCTTAATGAAGCAAATGGCCACATTGGGAAAGCTCATGTGGCAAGAAACTGCAAGAGGCCTTAATAAATAATGGATAGCCTCTAGGAATTGTGAACTCTAGGATATCAGGGAAGCCTCCAGCCAACAGCCAGCAAGAACCTGAAGCCCTCAGTCCCACAGCCACAAAAAATAAATTCTGATAGCAACTTGAGTAAGCTTGGAAATGGATTCTTCCTCAGTCAAAACCCCAGATTGTAATGCAGCCCAGTCAACACCATGATAGCAACATCATGAAACCCTAAGCATAGTAACTAGCTAAGCTGTTTTTGTACTTCTGACCTAGGGAAACTATGAGATAATAAATGTCTGTTGTCTAAGTTGCTAAGTTTGTGGCAATTTGTTACGTGGCACTAATACAGTCCTTCAGAGGCAGCTGGCACATACTCTTTGCCCTTTTTCTTTTTTCATGTTTTCTTTCATCTTGTTGCTTAGAATTCTGCTACAGCCTTACTGAATCAAGAAGTTGGAGTGTCATTTTCAAGATGATAAATCCTTGAGCTGAAAGAGATCCAGGTTCCTGAAGGGTATTCATCTAAACATAAGCATTTGTCTTGTTTGAGCCATTGTTATTTTGCATTTTCTATCATGTGATGCTGAATTATTCCAAATAGTACAATAAGTACTGTTAATTAGCATTTGTTTTATTTTACTGTTTACTATAATAAGAATTCATGTTTATTATAGGTGATTTGGAAAGTACAACATATACAGAAGAAGAAATATTACCCATTACTTTACACTCAAAAACATCCACTATTAATATTTTGGTATACTTCTTTTTAGTATTTTGATCTAACATTTTGAAAATGAAGACCTCTGTAGCAAATATTTGTGACATTTAAATGTCATGGCTTCTAGGTTTATAAGACAAAGTTTTTGTCAAATTACTTTAAAACATCTGGTGGTGATATAAAAATCCAATCAAACCAGCATGTGGCATAAAAGAGGGAAAATATCCCATTTATTATTTTCATTAAATTTAAGTATTTTTAAAAAGTCAATTTAGACCACATATTTATGTGTTCAGAAATTTGACCTCAATAACTGAACATAAAAGAAGTCAGATTTCTAACAATTGGCTATTAATATAGCTTATTTTAGGTACCCAAATTAGATTTTTTTGTGTTTGTTCACTGACGCATCTCAGGTCATTACTTAACTTTTAAATTTGTACATATATATGGTGTAATTTTGCTAATATTTTCAAATGAGATTTGTATTAGTCCATTCTCACTCTGCTATGAAGAAATATCAAAGACTGGATAATTTATTAAGAAGAGAGGTTTAATTGACTCACAGTGGGGCTGAGGAGGCCTCAGGAAACTTACAATCATGGCAGAAGGCACCTCTTCATGGGGTGGCAGGAGAGAGAATGAGCGCCAGTAGGGGAAATGCCAGACACTTATAAAACCATCAGATCTCATGAGAACTCACTCACTGTCATGAGAACAGCATGAGGAAACTGCCCCAGTCATTCTATTACGTCCCTCCCATGACACATGAGGATTATGGGATTACAATTCAAGATGAGATTTGGGTGGAGACACAAAGCCAAACTCTATCACTAGCTTAAAAGTTACGCAAATTTGAACTTACTATATTATTAATTATAGCTTTTTAAAATTTGAAGATTGGCTAAATCTTAGTTTGAGAGTTTTCTTTTAAAAATTCTCATCAAATCCAAGGTTCTTAGTAGTTCTAATCCTCTACATAATAGTGCCCATCTATCTTTATAAATTTATCCCTAAAGCAAATCTTCGTTCCTGGCAAATTAGTTTGACAAATAAGACAGCTCCCTCTTCCACACCTTTTCTCAACTTTCCAGCTTATGATGCACTCTACCCTGCTCTGGACTTACCTAATTGGACTTTTCCTTTAAAGTTCAGTTAACTCTCAACTTCTTCATGAACTCTCTTAGATTAACTCAGACTTCTGTGATTTCTCCATTTCCTAACCCAGGTAATTTTCTATCCACACTACTTAGATGACATGAAGTACCTGATACTTTTCCCTGATGAATAGGACATTCTTGTCCTCACCTCTCTTCTACTCTCTTCTGCTGCATTTTTCTAGGGCAGTTAATTGATAAATATAGACAAAAATTCAAGGACTATATTTTGCACTTGTTAAAAAAAGTAAGATTGTTTTCAGTGAAAAGTCTGTGAGTTTAATTCATGCATGGGGAAAGATTTAAGAAGAGTACATAAAATGAGGAACTATAAACCTGAATTCTGGAATTCTGTAGCAATCTCATCTTCTGAACTAAAGTCATATTAAGCAGGTATAGTTCTGGGGATTGCATTTCATGTGTATTGTTCTTGATAGAAGCAATCTTGTCTGTGTAATCACACTATATTTCCTTTGGAAGTAAGGAAAATTAAAGAAAAAAGTAAGGAGTACAATATGACATTTAAAAACTGTTGGTAATTTATAGAGACCCTCCAATTCAAAATGAAAGTGTCAGTTAACACTCAGAGGCTTTCATGTTCAAGAGTACTTCACAGAGTATAGATAACTCCTATGGTTTGAATGTGTCCCCCAAAGTTCATGTGTATTAAGGAAACTTAATCCTTAATATAACAGTGTTGAGAGGTGGGACCTTTCAGAAGGTCATGAGGGTTCTGCTTTCATGAATGCATTAATTTCATTATCTCTGGAGTGGGTTCCTTATTGTGGCAGTGGGTTTATTATAAAAACAAGTTTGGCCCCTCTTGCTCTCTCTCTCTTATCCTCTCACCTAGTATCATGGAATGTCTCAGCAAGAAGGCCCCCATCAGATCTGGCATCTTGATATTAGACTTCCCAGCCTCCAGAACTGTGAGAAGTAAATTTCTTTTCTTTATACATTATTCAGTGTTTGGTATTCTGTTATAGCAACACAAAATGGACTAAGACAATAACCAAATTGAAGTGGTCTTTTTCTAAAATGCTCCAGGGTGTTTCACTGTGACTTTGTACTATAGGACAATGGGAGCACTGATGGCAGGGTCCCATGATGCACAGTTCAGTGTATTTAGTGGGGTAGTTTGAACCTTTAAAAAATTTGACAATGCCTTATAATTATATTAGAAACTTTAAAAAACTGAAGTAGATTCCATAACTAGAAAATTAAAATATAGATGGGATGTAAGAAGATGACTTTATGCTTTGCAAATGCTTTTATAATTTAATCTCATTGAACTCTTAGATGATTCCACATATTATTATACAGGTGAAGCAACTGAGGCTTTTGGAGGTTCAAGTTAGTGGTAGAATGAAGGCTTCAATTCTGGTCCTTTAATTCCTTTGGACAAGCTATTCTCATTCTTGTGAAAAGAAACTTATTTTTGGAGGTGTGGTATTTTAAATACATAGCAGATAATTAAAGAATTAAAAGCTCTGTGTTTAAATGTCAAAAAGCTGATAATTATCCCTAGCTAAATAACTCTGCTTTCTCTCTCACTCTGAAAGTAAAAGAAACTTTCTACATTTCCTACACTTGACATAATTTTAGATGTGGTTGTTTTTCTAATTGATTAAGGTAGAACATGCAGGGACTGTGCCTCTAGGAGGTAAAGTATGAAGCTGGTTGAAGGTGGGGAGGTTTATTTTTTCCTCTTCATGGGAAAATTGTTTCATACATTTGATGTGTCACTCCAGATTCTATTTTGTTGTGGTTTTATTATCTAAGTTTCACAGGAGGTAAAGTATTTTAATGATTTTCCATTTTAAAAATAATTTCCAGTTTCAGTGAGGTACAGTTTTTTTTTATTTTTTATTTTTTTACCAGAGTACATTTAATGATGTTAAATCAAATGCTGCCAGTCTCTCATATGTTCTCAGGGCAGTTCTTGTTCAAGGTAGTGTTATCCTTATAAACTCACCACTAGTTAGAGGTTCTGTTCTAGTCCAAGTCACTTTTGGAGTCTCCAGCTATATTTGTGATTAGTAACCACCAATCAGATCTTAGTCATTCCACTCTGTAGCCAGAACCACGATAATATGGAAATAGTCAAAGTGACAGCTGTGTAACTAAATGGATGGAGCCAAGGTGGAAGAGAGAATGAAGTTTCTAGTTACTGATTTCTGTAAGTGATGGTCAAAACTCAATGGTCAGTTAGGAATTTTAATGTGTTCAACTTAGGTATCAGGTTTAAAGCACCTTGTTTAAAAGTGAGTTTAAAAAATCCATAAAAGTCAGAAATCTTGTAGGGTAACAGAAACAATATTGAACTTGGAGTCAAGGGCCCTGAGTTCTACCCATTCATTTAAGTGTTTCTCAAACAGAGTCTCTAAATCAGAATCATTTAGAACATTTGCTAAAAAGCAAATTCCCCCACATTATGCCTAGACGTATTAAATTAGAATCTTTGATAGGAGCGTGAGGGAACTATAGTTTTACCTCTCACCTTAAGTGATTTCTGTGCACTCTGAAGTTTAAATTCCTGTGTCTTCTTTTTAAATTTTCCTTATCTATGAGGTGAAGCCATGAAATGTTTAGGAACTGTAAGTATCTTTTTATTCCCTGGCTCTAGTGATTCCATTAGTCCTTATGTGCCATATTTTTGGGTACAGTAGTTGGTTTGTTTAAATTACTATCATCTCTATAAATGAAAAATTATAATCTGTGCGCATAGTCAGTGATTAACCTTGTAGACATTGTAGCCATCTTTTATTTATCTGTGCTATCTTTGATCTAAAAATTTCAGGATTTAGTGCTGTGTGATTTCTCTTGCTCCTGTTTTAGAACATACAGAAAAATATTTCTTCCCACAAAAGGCATGATATTAGTTTTATGTTATGCCCTTAAAAGAACGAAGATATAACAGAGATGAAGGAGATGCTCATACGATCTTAACAATCCCACTGCCGGCAAATCCTATAATGATTCCACAGTCAGGTTTTATTTCACTAAGGTTTTGATGCTGAAGAAAAACGCTGAAAATAAAAACTGGAAAGATTGAAGAGCCTTGAAGAGGGATGAAGAGAATAATAAAATGAAATTATCGAGTGGGGTACTAAAATCAGAGATGACGATGAATCTTCACCCCTGTAAGTGCCACAAGCTCCATAGGGCAGCAGAATCTTATAAAATTCCTGGGTAGTATTTTAGTTTGATTTAAAAAATAATATATTACTGCTTCTTATTAACATCTTTTTTTTCTCTTCCCGTAGTATCCTGACTAAATTGCAAGGGAAAACACATACTTCCTTTGAAACTATAAGGAAACTACTGTATGAAAGAATTTTTTAAAATGCAGAATAAGAAAGGAATATGTAGATTTGCAATCAAGTATGCTTTACATGGTTATCTGAGACAATATTTGAGGCCTGAGACCAATCACACTGTGAACTATCCTGTTCTTATGCCCTAAATATCTTTATATCTCACATCCCCAAGTATTACACTGGAGAGACCAGATGGAAATTTTTCATGAAACATAATATGAATGGAAAAATATTAAAAGAAGACATACAGCCCGAGGCCTATATGCAGTAGTAAGAAGGAAAAATATAATTCATTTTGTCTTGGGAATAATGCTGCCTATGTGGAACTGCCATTTGTAAAAAGCACTGGCTGAAAATTAATCTTCATTTTCCCACCACCAATTGGGTACTCTCCCAACCTGGAACCTGGATGTTAGGTTAGATTTGAGATTTGAGCTTTAGTCATTGGCTTTTGATTCAGGAGAATAGAATTTTTCTCATCTCCTAAAATGCATAGATAAAATAATAAGAAACTTAAATCTGAATATTAAATATACCTAAGAACATTTCAAGATGTGTTTCTCACTGCTTTAATATTGACTTATAACAAACTTTTTTTCAAAAGCAAGTCACAGCACTAGAGTTGTCATAGCATTAGATGTCATGAGAGTTCTTTTTCAAAAGTGGGTAAAAAATAATTGCAACAGACGGCATTGCAAAAATCAGCCGATCTGTGGTCATTTTTCTAAGTGTCCTTTTAAAAGGGCTCATCAATCTATTTGACCTCTTTCTTAGACACATGATATTGTTCAACATGTGCCTTCTATAATGTATTTCCTTCTAATCTTTCTCATAATAGCTTTAAAACAGATCTCCAAGGAATGCCCTCACAAGAAGGCAGAAGTATAGTAAAAGAACAATAAAAGAACTTGGGGATAAATACTTAAGCTATGATATCAAATGAATTATTAATTATTAGAAAATAATTGATGCATAATCTACTGATTGTGTATGTTATCTCTGAGATGTGATTGTAAGACTTTCTCACATATAAAATGATTAATTGAATTTGTCTCTATTGTTATATTACCTACTAAAAATATTCTAGAGTAAATTTAGAACAACTAGAATTTGAATTTGTTTCGTAATGCTTACTAAGCCATATTGTTTGTTAGAATAAGGGTTTTTTAGTATAAAATTTCAAGTTACATCATCTCTAATTTATCTAATTCCAACTGCTGATTGGAACTTGTTCCTAATCATAGAGGTGAATCATAAAGATGAATACTGTTCCTTTAGCAAAGGAATACAGTATAACTTTTCCGTGTCTAGCTGCAGTAGTATTTCTTCTCTTTGACATCAGCCATATCCCAAGTACTCCTATAAGCTACTTATGGTACAAATGAAACAAACATCAAATGATTTATGGACACCTGAGCATGCCATATACCTTATTAGATAAATAATAATTACTGTACTATACAGGGACATAGTCTTCCCCTCTAAATTCAATATTTGTAGATTTATAGGTCTTGGTCTGAGGTCTACTAAAAATGTGTTTTAACATATTACCTTTGTTTTTCCACTTTCTGATGTCTGCTATATGATTGATCACTGCAGTATCCCTGCAGGAAATCTGAGTTGGATTCCACTTTGGACAGAACCCAGTGTCTGCAAGCTTTAGACTGCTCTTTATACTACTTGTTCATATGTTATTTCTATTGAAATATTTCCAATGGTGTATGTCATATTCATGTTGTTGCTCTATGTGACTTAACTCCTCTAATTATTTTTCTTTAGCTTGTGTGTGCCATTTTATGAGGTCACTAATGAACTTTCTATTAAGGCACTTTGACTAAAGCACTTTAGCACAAAGAATAGCTTTTAGGGATCAATAATTATAGTGAATTAAGTAATGCATTGACACAGAAAGAGATCATTTGTCATTAACTTCATAAATGCACACTATCTTGTGGTTTAATGGACAAGCTCACTCCAATTTATCACTCTATAGAGTATTATCATTTATAGTCTGAGTGCTATTTTATCAGAAAGTGCCAAGGCAAAGAATTAAGCTGCTAAGAAACCAAAGGAAGACTATGTGATCTCATCCTTTAGCCTCAGGGAAATATTTTGCATAAAATCTGTTTCCTGATGCTTTTAAGTTTAGGGTTGTGGAGGTCCTTTGATTTTTCCTGTTTGATTCTGCTGATGTGATGAAAGGTCAAATGGGAAAGACAATTAAGTAATTTGGATACTGAAAGGCTTATTTGTTCCAAAACTTAAGTAGTATATATCTTATTGCTAGAAAA
Source organism: Homo sapiens (assembly GCF_000001405.40). Classification (NCBI taxonomy): domain Eukaryota; kingdom Metazoa; phylum Chordata; class Mammalia; order Primates; family Hominidae; genus Homo; species Homo sapiens. Next base: position 118,018,409 of record NC_000004.12, on the reverse strand, counting down.
AGTATACAGTTATTCATATTTGTGAAAAAGAAAAGCTTCAGATAAAATTGCTTTAGAGATAAGTAGCAATATGATGTCAGTCTATTTGGGATGTAAAGGTTTAATTTTAAAATACTAAAAAAACTTTAATTTGATTTTGTAATTGAAAGTTTAAAGGTAAACAAGAGAAGACCTCTAAAATTTTTTGCCAGTCAATGAACTGCATTTTCTGCAACAGTTCTTGCTCCATGTCCAGCAGCAAAGTGGTGATCTAATTGATTATAAGCTTGTTGTCAAATCCTATCTCATTTTAATGATGTAGACACCAAAGAATGAAGAAATATAGATAAGTGATAGAACAATTCAAGTATTCTGATATGGAAGGAAATCTAAAGGGCACAAAAATGAGAGGAAATTATATATCAACTAATTCCCAAATTTAAAATAACAACATAGGCTTTTCATCAAGCTGCTTAGAAAAATATTACTTTCATACATTCTAAGATACTATCAGTTCTTAACTGTTCAGAACAGGTAAGTGATTGCTTTCTTAATGTAATTATGTATGAGTATGCTCTAAAATGAATAAATAGCATCAAATTAAAATTTTCTGTTTTAAATGTTTTTTGCTTTTTTGATTATTAAGACAATACATGTTAGAACTTTAAAAAAAGTCGACTTTTTAATACCTTCATTCAATATTTTTCCGTATATTTATGCATATATATTATAGAAATTAGAAAAATGAATATATGTATACATATATATGTGTGCACATATATGCATACAAATGACTTTTTATGTAAGTGGATTATCAGATTATTTCTGTATTGTTGAATTTTTTTATTTCCAATAGTTTGCTGTTATAAATATTGTAAAATAGATGTGCAAAATGGCATTTTAATATATACATCGTTGTTCATATCTGTAATTATTTCTTTGGCTAGATTTCCAGAGAAAGAACTTCAAAAAATATGAGTGTTTTTACAATGTTTGATGCATATTTAGGATTTGCTTTTTAGGCAGGTTGTGCCAATTTATACTCTTTATAGCAACGTGTGAGTTTTTTCTTACATTTTACTTAACAGTTGACACATTTTTGGAAATTTGATAGGTAAAATATAAAATTTCACAGTTGTTTTAAGTTGCAGTTATTTAATTATTAATGAAGATAAATTTTAAAAATTTATTATTTATAATAATTTGTTTACTCTGACCTGTATGTACATTTATTGTTTTATTTTTCTCTTGGTATTTAGGGATTTTCTCAATAATTCTCAGAAGAATTTTATATATTAATTATCTATTATTTTGATATATTTGACTTTGTTTTCCGTCTTTTAGTTTTTTTATGCTTTTTTGATATACAGACACTTTTAATATTTACATAGTTAAGTAAATATCTCTTTCCTTTCCTTTATGGGTTTTCCCCATTGATTTTATCCTTAGAATTTCTTTCTCCAACCAGAAATCAGAAAAATATTTACCTACATTTTCTCCTAGAATATTACGATTTTCCATTTCATGTTTATATTTTTAATTCTTTGGAATTAATTTTGGTGGATGATGGTAAGTGAGTGATTCCTTTGTTTTTATTTTTCATCCAAAATAGCTAATTATTACAATATCATTTATCAAATAACCCACTCCTTTCCTACTAATTTGTGATAATCCTTTCATTATTTGTTAAATGCACCTTATATAAGCTTTGTATTCTGTTTCAATGAAACATGTCTAGCCTTGAACCATAGCAAATTCGTAATTGTGGTTCTATAACACATTTGAATATTGAATAGAGTTATGGTCTCATATTTTTAAAATTTTCTTTTTCAAAAATTTGCCTGTTTATTCTTCCTTATGAATTGTGGAATTATTTTCAGGCATGAAATATTTCATAATTTATTTTGTTGCTATTTACTAATAATTATTGATTATAACTTATTTAATCTGAATATTATTTGAGATAATTAATATATCTAGACTGTTGGCTTTCACTTAGGAATGTGTCTTCATTTATTTTAGTCTTTAAAAATTCTTTTATAGTAAGAGGTTTTAAAATTTTCTTTATATGTACATCCTTCAGGTCAAGATTATGTTTTCTTATTTCACATATTTTGTTATTGTGAGTGAATGGGAGTCTTAAAACTGTTTGTTACTCCTCATTGTAATATGAATAGTAAAAGTATTGAAATCTCTGTATTTTTATCCAGCTGCTTTGTTGAATTTTTTAAATTAAATCTAAAAGTTTTATAGTTGGTTCTTTTAAGTTTTCTAGGCAAACAAATAATAAAATTATAATTTTGATCTTTATTTTCCAATTGAATACATATGTATATATGTATTAGCTGTTTCTTTTGTTTATTTTTGGCACTAGAAAGAAATTTCAGGTCAATATTAGTTTTTAGTTTGATAGACAACAATCTTAACTTCTTTCCAGTGTAAATGGGAATATCCTTGGTATTTGACATTGGGTAATTTTTTGTGTTATGTTGTATTGATTACATTAAGGATAACTCATTTTATTCCAAACTTAACTAATTTTCCTTTTTAATCAAAAGGCAAAACATTTTCAGCCTCTCAGATAGTACTATATTTTAAAATTTGACTTATTAATTTAACCTATCACATAAAAATTTTATTTATTGAAATACTCATTTTTCCTTTCCTACCTTCCTTCCTTCCTTCTTCAGTAAACATACATTATGTGTTGTCCTGGATTACTCCTTTAATATTTTTAGTTTTTAACTATAATGTTACTTGATGAAATGGATCCTGATTAGATTACATTTTTGGGGTAATATTCTTCAAAAGGAATGTAAAATACTTATTGGGCTGACTTTTCTAGAAACCATAATCCATAGTACAAAAATCATAGGAACTAGCTTTATTGTAACTGACAATTCTCCCAATATGCAGTTAAATTTTATTTGCTAAAATATAAGTCTGGTGAAACAAAACTGAAAAACAATTTTTGCAAATGATATACTTAGTGAAGAAAATTACCTCATTTTCAACATTATAAAGAAATATTTATTATTGGTTCATTTTAAATCATTATTTTAAAGAAAAAGAATGGGGAATAAGTTTTAATAACTAATATTAATAACTATTAAGTTTTAATAACTAATTAACATTTTATTATAATAATTTTATACTGTATTTTTATTTATTCCTTATATTTATTATATAATGTTATATAATAAATATTGTATGATTATATTTATTTAAATGTTAATAAAAATTATATAAAAATAAAAATATAATTTAAATATAAGATAAATATATATTATTATACTAATTTTATACTATATTTAATAGCTAATTAATATTTTACAGTAAAATATTTATTAATCTTTTAATAACTAATAAGTTTTAATAACTTATTAATATTAATAACTAATATTAATACTTGGACAGTTATTTTTTTTTGAGATGGAGTCTTGCTTTGTTGCCCAGGCTGGAGTGCAGTGGCCCAGGCTGGAATGTAGGAGCAGAGTGATCTCAGCTCACTGCAACCTCCATCTCCCGGGTTCAAGTGATTCTCCTGCCTCAGCCTCCTGAGTAGCCGGGATTACAGGCGTGTGTCACCATGCCTGGCTAATTTTTGTAGTTTTAGTAGAGACAGGGTTTCACCATGTTGGGCAGGCTGGTCTCGAACTCCTGACCTCGTGATCCGCCTGTCTCAGCCTCCCAAAGTGCTGGGATAATACTTGGATAGTTATTTTATTCAACTCTGGAACTCAATTTCATAACATTTTTCTTACACGTATTATATTTATTGTTTTGGTTAAAGCAAACTGTACAGAAAAATAATTTAGGGGCATCTACAAGGAGTCTTTAGCATGACTAATCCATTTGGTGAAATAAACTCTTCTCATAAACTACTGATAGTTGAAATCAGGGGGATGTTATACGTAGCTGCAATTAACCGGATAAATAGCTTAAGAGACATCTATCTGCAACAGCACATGGAGAAAAAAGCAGGAAGTGTGGACTTCGCTGGAGGCAGTTGAAAATATCTCATCTTTAGTAACCCTCACAGCCAAATAGTCTGGGTTTAGTTGCTATTCTAAAGTTGAAGCTGCATTTGAATTTTCTGAAATGTTTCCTAGTTATTGTGAACCCAATCAATTAAAAATACTGTTTTTTTATTCAAGGCAGCCATACAAAGAAAATTTAAATGCATCTAATTTTCTATAATTCAAGTATAAAGTACTATTTCAGAGCTACATGAAAATATAATGTAGCAAAAGGTTATTTAACCTTTGAGTATATTTGGAATATTAGAATGCCCCATTATGGGAGTCACCTCTAGAAAAATAATTCCATGTGGATAGGTGATTTCATAACAAATGATTATGCTTATCTTAGTCCAAGTTGGAATAAACTGAGGAAATTCTTTCTCAATCTCTTTCTCTTTTTCCAGCATCCTCATGGTGTTAAGATTCATTATGAGGGCATTTCACTTCTCTCTATTTAGGAAAAGGAAAACTGATTATCTAATTGTTTGATCTAGTATATGAAGTCCCATATTACAATTTTTGGTATTACTAATATTCAAAGGAATGCAAATTTAAACAATAATGGGGCAATTTTAACAACTTTTAAATGAGCATAAACATTAAAAATGATAATAGCTTGATGCTGGCAGGTTCCCAATAAAGCTGGTACATTAAATGTGTATTCTCATACCTCTTGGAAAACACTTGGTACTATATATCATAAACCATAGAAAAGTTTATATTCATTGACTCTGTAATTCCACTCTTGGGAATAGACTCCAAGGAAACTCTTCGAAAGAATAAAAAAAATCTATGAATATAAAGAAGCTCATTACAGCAATGATTATAATGGAAAGTTTAGAATGAAATTAATACTATTAACATGAGAATAATTAAGTTACAGTATAGCCAGTTGATGTCATATTATAGTGTCATTAAGTAAAAATTATGAAAATGGTTCAACATGGAAAAGTGTTTATGATTCAGATTAAATGGCAAAAAGTGAAAAGCAAAATTTTGCATACAAGATTATCACAACTATAAATCCAAGTCCATATGGACATATCCTGGAAGAAAAGTTAAAAAGTAGAAATAACTAGCTTGAGACATGTAAATTGAAGACTTTTTTCTTTGAAAATGTCTTCTAATGTTTTAATTGTGTATACTGCATTTTAGTGGCCAGTTAGCTAATGGTTTATTGATGATTTATTAAAATATTCATTAAAAATATTTTCTTCTTGTAGTTTATAGCTTAGACACCATCCATCTCATATTTAACATTATGGATTCAGAGCACTATATGAAATATATGCGGCATTGGATGGTTTCAGTGAATCTGCTGTGAAGATACGTATGATCCAGCAGCACATCACTTAAGTTTCCTTATCTGATAAAATGTGTTCTGTGTATTTCATTTACTTATATACATATAATTCATCATATTTCCAAAACATGTGTTTGCTTACAGCAAAATCATATATATAATCATAAAGATTATATTTTATAGTAAATAACTTGTAAAGCAATGATATACAATGAAAATAATAGAATAAATTACACATCTAATCATATTCCATCCTTTTTGGTGTATATTCAGAATATTCAGACATTTTAGGAGCTTAGGAATTTTCTTCCTTTTTTCTGAGATGGAGTCTCACTCTCTCGCTCAGGCAGGAGTGCAGTGGCACGATCTTGGCTCACTGCAACCTCTGCCTCCTGGGCTGACGTGATCCTCCTACTACAGCCTCCGTAGTAGCTGGGACTACAGGCACACCACCATCTCCTGCTGATTGTTTGTATTTTTCGTAGAGATGGGGTTTCACCATGTTCCCTAGACTGGTCTTCAACTCCTGAGCTCAACAGACCTGCCCGCCATGGCCTCCCAAAGTACTGGGATTAGAGGCATGAGTCACTGTGCCTGGCCAGCTTAGGAATTTTCTTCTTCCATTTTATGATGTTATAACAGAATACCACAGACTGAGTAATATATAATAATAAGAAATTCATTTGTTGTAATTCTAGTAGTTGAGAAGTCCAAGGTCAAGTAGTTTGCATCTTGTGAGGGCCTTTTTGCTGTGTCATCCCCTAGTGGAAGGGCAAGAGACTGCAAGAGAGCAAGAGAACAAGAGAAAGCCTAAC